>NC_000012.12:37914673-38066188 GCF_000001405.40 Homo sapiens
AGGGTGCTCCGAAATATGCCTTTTCAGATTCTACAAACACAGTGTTTCCAAACCACTCAATCAAAAGAAAGATTTTACTCTGTGAGATGAATGCACACATCACAAAGCAGTTTCTCATATAGTTTCTGTATAGTTCTTCTCTGAAGATATTTTTTCTTTTCCAAAAAAGGCCTCAATTCACTCCTAAATACCCCTTTACAGATTCTATAAGAACAGTGTTTCCAAACTGTCCCATCAAGAGAAGGATTTAACTCAGGGAGATTAATGTACACATCAGAAAGCTGTTTCACATAACACTTAATTCCAGTTTTTATGCGAAGATATTTCCTTGTTCACTATAGCCCTTTTTGTGCTACCTAACATTGCTTCACAGATTATATAAAAACAGTGTTTCCAAACTGCTCCATTAAAAGAAAATTTTAAGTCTGGGAGACGAATGCACACTTCACAAAGCAGTTTCTCAAAAAGTTTCTTACTCTTTTTCTCTGAAGACATTTCCTTTTTTCACCATAGGCATCAGTGTGCTCTCAAATATCCCTTTGCAGATTCTGCAAAAACAGTGTTTCCAAACTGCACAATCAATAGAAATGTTTGACTCTGTGAAAAGAATGAACATATGGCAAAGCATTTTCTCAGAAAGCTTGTTTCCAGTTTTTATCTAAAGTTATTTCCTTTTTCAATATAGGTCTCATTCACGACCAAATATCCCTTCCCAGATTCTACAAAAACAGTGTTTCCAAACTCCTCAATCAAAAGAAAATTTAAACTCTGTATGGTGAATGTACACATCACAAAGCAGTTTCTCAGAAAGTTTCTGTCAATTTCTTATCTGAAGATATTTCCTTTTCCACAATAGGCCTCAATGCCCTCCAAAATATCGCTTCACAGATTGTATAAAAACAGTCTTTCCAAACTGTTCTATCAAAGGAAGGGCTTAAGTCTATGAGATGAATGCACCCATCAGAAAGAAGTTTCAAATAACCCTTCTTTCCAGTTTGTATCTGAATATATTTCCTTGTTCACCATAGGTGTTTTGCGTTACCAAATATTGCTTCACAGATTTTGCAAAAACCGTGTATCCAAACTGCTCAAAGAAAGGTTTACCTCTGTGAGATTAATGCCCACATCACAAAGCAGTTTCCAAAAAGTTCTTTCTAGTTTTTATCTGAGGATAATTCCTTTATCACCATAAGCTTCAATGCACTTCCAAACATCACCTCACAGATTCCACACATACAGTGTTTCCAAACAGCTGAATCAAAAAACGAGATTAATTCTATGTGTTGAATGCACACATCACAAAGCAGTTTCTCAAAAATCTTCCTTCTGGTTTTTATCCGAAGATATTTTCTTTTTCAGCATAGGCCTCAGTGTGCTCCCAAATATACCTTTGCAGACTCTACAAAAACAGGGTTTCAAAAATGCTCATTCAAAAGAAAGATTTAACTCTGTGAGATAAATGCACACTTCACAAAGGAGTTAATCAGATGGCTTCTGTCTAGTTCTTCTCTGAAGGTATTTCCTTTTCCACAATAGTCCTCAATGCACTCCCAAATAACCCTACACAGATTCTATAAAAACAGGGTTTTTGAACAGTTCCATCAAAAGAAGTATTTAACTCAGTGAGATGAGCACACTCATCAGAAAGCAGTTTCTTATAATGTTTCTTTCCAGTTTTTATCTGATGACACTTCCTTGTTCACCATAGGCTTTTTTGAGCTACCAAAAATCACTTAACAGATTATACAAAAACAGTGTTTCCAAACAGCTCTGTCAAAATAAAAGTTTGACTCTGTGAGATGAATGCATACATCAGAAACCAGTTTCTCAAAAACTATCTTTCTGTTTTTTATCAGAAGATATTTCCTTTATCACCATAGGCTTCAACGTGCTCCCAAATATCCCTTTGCAGATTCTACAAAAAGAGTGTTTCCAAACTACTCAATCAAAATAAAAGTTTAACTCCATGAGAAGAATGCACACATCACAAAGCAGTTTCTCAAAATGCTTCTTTCTAGTTTTTCTCTGAAGTTATTTCCTTTTTCAGCATGGGCCTCATGAGCTCCCAAATATCGACTCGTAGATTCTACAAAAACAGTGTTTCCAAACTGATCAATCAAAAGAAAGGTTTAACTCTGTGAGATGAATTCACACATCACAAGGCAGTTTCTCAAAATGTATCTTTCTTGTTTTTATCCAAAGATATTTCCTTTGTCACCATAGGCTTAAATGCACTCCCAAATATCCCTCTGCAGATTCTACAAAAACAGCATTTCCAAACTGCTCAATCAGAAAAATGTTTAACTCTGCAAGTTGAATGCACACATCACAAAGCAGTTTCTCAGATATATTTTGTCTAGTTTTTTTCTGAAGATATTTCCTTTTCCACCGTAGACCTCAGTGTGCTCTGAAATATACCTTTGAAGATACTTCAAAAACAGTGTTTCCAAACTGCTGAATGAAAAGAAAGGCTTAACTCTGTGAGATGAACGCACACATCAGAAAGCAGTTTCTCATAACTACTCTTTCCAATTTTTATCTAAGAATATTTCCTTGTTCACCAGAGGCTTTGTGCGCTACTTGACTGCACTTCACAGATTACAAAAAAAATTGTTTCCAAAATGCTCAGTCAAAAGAAAAATTTAGGTCTGTGAGTTGAATGCTTACATTACAAAAAAGTTTCTCAAAAAGCTTCTTTCCAGTTTTTATCTGAACTTATTTCCTTTTTCACCATTAGCCTTGAGTGCTCACATATATCCCTTCACAGATTCTAGAAAAACAGTAATTCCAAACTGATCAATCAAAAGAAATGTTTAACTCTCTGAGATGAATGCACACATTACAAAGCAGTTTCTCAAAAAGGTTCTTTCAGGTTTTTAATCCAAATATACTTCCCTTTTTTATCACCATAGGCTTCAATGCACTCCCAAATATCCCTTCGCAGATTCTCCAAACTAGTGTTTCCAAATTGCTCAATCAAAAGAAAGGTTTAACTCTGTGAGATGATTGCACTCATCACAAAGCAATTTCTCAGAAAACTTCTGTCCAGTTCTTCTCTTAAGATATTACCTTTTCCACAATAGGCCTCAATGCACTCCCAAATATCCCTTTGCAGATTCTACAAATCAGTGTTTCCAAACTGTCCCATCAAAAGAAGGACTTCACTCTGTAAGATGAACAGACACATCAGAAAGCAGTTTCTCATAACGCTTATTTGCAGTTTTTATGTGAAGATATTTCCCTGTTTACTGTAGGAATTTTTGCACAACTTAACATCACTTCACAGATTGTACAAAAACAGAGTTTCCAAACTGCTCATTCAAAAGAAAAGTTTAACTCTGTGAGATGAATGCATACATGACAAAGCAGTTTCTCAAAAAGCTTCTTTTTTGTGTTTATCTGAAGATAGTTCCTTTGTCACCAGAGGCATCAGTGTCCTCCCAAATATCCCTTTGCAGATTCTACAAAAACAGTGTTTCCAAATTGCTGAATCTAAAGAAATGTTTAACTATGTGAGAAGAATGCACACATCACAAAGTAGATTCAGAGAAAGCTACTTTCTAGTTTTTATATGAAATTATTTCCTTTTGCACCACTGGCATCATGGGCTCCCAAATATCCCTTTGCATATTCTACAAATCAGTGCTTCCAAACTCATCAATCAATAGAAAGGTTTAACTCTGTGAGATGAATGCACACATCACAAAGCAGTTTCTCAAAAACCTTCTTTCTAGTTTTTATCTGAAGATATTTCATTTTTCAACATAAGCTTTAGTGTGCACCAAAATACACCTTCACAGATTCTACAATAACAGTGTTTCCAAACTGCTCAATCAAAACAAAGGTTTAACTCTGTGAGATGAATGCACATATCACAAAGCTGTTTCTCAAAAAGCTTCTTTCTAGTTTTTATCCGAAGATATTTCCTTTATCACCATTAGCTTCAATGTGCTCCCAAATATCCCATTGTAGATTCCACAATAACACTGTTTCCAAACTGCTCAATCAACAACAGGTTTAACTCTGTGTGGTGAACAACCAGAAGACAAAGCAGTTTCTCAAAATCTTCTTTCTGGCTTTTATCTGAAGATATTTCCTTTTTCACCATAGGCCTCAGTGCACTCCAAAATATACTTTTGCAGCTTCTACAAAAACAATGTTTGCAAACAGCTCCAACAAAAGAAAGATTTAAGTCTGTGAAATGAATGAGCATATCACAAAACAGTTTCTTCGATAGCTTCTATCTTGTTCTTCTCTGAAGGTATTTCCTTTTCCACCATAGGCCTCATTGTGCTCCCTAATACCCATTCGCAGATTCTACAAAACCAGGGTTTCTGAAATGTTCCATCAAAAGAGGGACAAGAGGGACTTAAGTCTGTGATGTGAAGGCACACTTCATAAACCAGTTTCTCATAACGCTTCTTTCTAGTTTTTTTTCTGAAGATATTTCCTTATTCACCATGGGCCTTTTTTACTAACATCATTTCACAGACCATAGAAAAACATTGTTACTAAATGGACCAGTCAAAAGAAAAGTTTAATTCTGTGAGATGAATGCATACATCACAAAGTAGTTTCCCAGAAAGCTTCCATCTAGTTCTTCTCTGAAGATATTTCATTTTCCACTATAGGCCTCAATGAGATCCCAAATATCTCTTTGCGGCTTCTACAAAAACAGGGTTTCCAAACTCTTCCATCAACAGAAGGACTTAAGTCTGTCAGATGAATGCACACATCTGAAAGCAGTTTCCCATAATGCTTCTTTCCGGTTTTTATCTGAAGCTATTTCTTAGTTCACCATAGGCCATTTGGCACTACATAACATCGCTTCACAGTTAATAAAAGATGGTGTTTCCAAATTGCTCAGTCAAAAGGAAAGTTTAACTCTGTGAGATGAGTGTATATATCTCAAATCCATTTCTCTAAAAGTTTTTTTTACTTTTTATCCGAAGATATTTCCTTTTTCACCATAGGCATCTGTGCACTGCCAAATATCAGTTTGCAAATTCTACATAAATAGTGTTTCCAAAGTGCTCAGCCATAGGAAAAGTTAAATTCTGTGAGAAGAATGCACACATCAAAAAGCGGTTCCTCACAAAGCTGTTTGATTAAAAGAGGCACATAATCTGTGTGTTGAATGCACATATCAGAAAGCAGTTTCTCATAATACTTCTTTCCAGTTTTTATCTGAAGATATTTCTTTTTTCACCATAGGTTCTTTGTGCTGTAAAATATCGCTTCTCAGATTTTGCAAAAATAGTGATTCCAAACTTCTTAGACAAAAGAAAGGTTAACTCTGTGATATGAATGCATAGAGCACAAAGGAGTTTCTCAAAAAGATTCTTTCTAGTTTTTATCAGAAGATATTTCCTTTATCATCATAGGCTTCAATGAGCTCCCAAATATCCTATCGTAGATTCTGCAAAAACAGTGTTTCCAAACTGCTCAATCAAGAAAACGGGTTTAACTCTGTTAGTTGAATGGACACATCATAAAGCATTTTCTCAAAAATCGTCTTTCTTATTTTTATCCAAATATATTCCTTTTTTCACCATAGGTCTCATGCACTCCCAAATATGTCTTCTCAGATTCTGCAAAAACAGTGTGTCCAAACTCATCAATCAAAAGAAAGGTTTAACTCTGTGAGATGAATGCACACATCACAAAGCAGTTTCTCAAAAGATTCTTTCTAGTTTTTATCCAAAGATATTTCCCTTTTCACCATAGGCCTCAGTGCTCTCCCAATTATACCATAGTGGATTCTCCAAAAACAGTGTTTCCAAACTGCTCCATCAAAAGAAAGGTTTAACTATGTGAGAGGAGAGGAACGCACTCATCACAAAGCAGTTTATCAGATAGCTTCTTTCTAGTTTTTATCTGAAGATATTTCTTTTTTCACCATAGGTTTCAAAGTGCTCCCAAATATCCCTTCGCAGATTCTACAAAAACAGAGATTCCAAACTGCTAAATCAGAAGAAAGCTTTAACTCTGTTAGGTGAATACACTCATGATAAAGCAGTTTCTCAGAAAGCTTCTGTCTACTTCTGTTTCAAGATATTTCATTTTTCATCTTAGGCCTCAATGCACTCCCAAATATCCCTTCACAGATTCTACAAAAACAGTGATTCCAAACTGTTCCATCAATAGAAGGACTTAACTCTGTGAGATGAACACATACATCAGAAAGCAGTTTCTCATAACGTTTCTTTGCAGTTTTTATCTGAATATATTTCAGTGTTCATGATAGGCCTTTTTATACTGCATAAAATTGCTTCGCAGATTATGCAAAAACTGTTTCCAAACTCCTCATTCAAAAGAAATGTTTAACTCTTTGAGATGAATGTGCACATCACAAAATAGTTTTTCAAAAAGCTTTTCTAGTTTTTATCTAAATATATTTCCTTTTTCATCATAAGCCTAATTGCCCTTTCAAATATCACATTGCAGATTCTACAAAAATAGTGTTTCCAAACTGCTCAATCAAAAAACAGTTTTAACTCTCTGAGTTGACTGCACACATCACAAAGCAGTTTCTCAAAAGGCTCCTTTCTAGTTTTTATCAGAATGTATTTCTTTTTTCACCATAGGCCACAGTGCGCTCCCAAATATCCCTTCACAGATTCTACCAAAACACTCTTTCCAAACAGCTCATTCAAAAGAAAGATTTCACTCTGTCTGAGGAATGCACACATCAGTTTTTCAGAAAGCTTCTTTCTGGTTTTTATCTGGAGATATTTCCTTTTTCACCATAGACCTTAATGAGCTCCAAAATAACTCTTCGCAGATTCTGCCAAAAGGGTGTTTCCAAATGGCTCCATCAAAGGAAAGATTTAACACTGTGAAATGTATGAACACGTCACAAATCAGTGTGTCAGAAAGCTTCTTTCCAGTTTTTATGTGAAGATATTTAGTTTTTACCATATGCCTCTATCCGCTTCCTAATTTCAGTTCATAGATAATACAAAAACAGTGTTTCCAAACTGCTCTATCAAAATAAAGGTTTAACTCTGGTAGATGAATATGCACATCACAAAGCAGTTTCTCAAAAAGTTTCTATCTAGTTCTTCTCTTAAGATATTTCCTTTTCCACCATAGGCCTCAATGCACTCCCAAATATCCCTTCACAGATTCTACAAAAACAGTGTTTCCAAACTGTTCAATCAAAAGAAGGCCTTAACTCTGTGAGATGAAATCACGCATCAGAAAGTAGTTTCTCATAATGCTTCTTTCCAGTTTTTATATGAAGATATTTCCTTTTTCACCAAAGGCCTTTTTAGCTGCCTAACATTGCTTTGCAGGTTATACAAAAACAGTGTTTCCAAACATCTCAGTCAAAGGAAAAATTTAAATCTGTGAGTGGAATGCATATATCACAAAGAAGTATCTCAAAAATTTTCTTTCTAGTTTTTATCTGAATATATTTCCCTTTTCACGAAAGGCATCAGTGATCTCCAAAATATTCAATTACAAATTCTACAAAAGTTTTTCCAAACTGCTCAATCCAAAGAAACTTTTATTTCTGAGACAAGAATGCACACTTCATAAGGCAGTTTCTCAGAAAACTTCTTTCTTGTTTTATCTGAAGTTATTTCCTTTTTCACAAAAGGCCTCATGCACTCTCGAATATCCCTTCACAGATTCTACAAAAACAGTGTTTCCAAATCACTCAATCCAAAGAAATGTTTACCTCTGAGAGAAAAATGTACACATCACAAAGCAGTTTGTCAGAAAGCTTCTTTCTAGTTTTATCTGAAGTTATTTCCTTTTTCACCATAGGCCTCATGCACTCCCAAATATCCCTGCACAGATTCTACAAAAACAATGTTTAAAAAACTGATCAATCAAAAGAAAGGTTTAACTCTGTGAGACAAATGCCCACATCACAAAACAGTTCTCAGAAAACTCCTTTCTAGTTTTTATCAGAAGATATTTCCTTTTTCAATGTTGGCGTCAGTGAGATCCCAAATATCCCTTTGCAGATTTTCCAAAAAAAGCAGTGTTTCCAAACTGCTCAATCAAAAGAAAGTTTTAACTTTGTGAGATTTATGTATTCATCCAAAGAAGTTTCTCAGAAAGCTTCAGTCTGTTTATCTGAAGATATTTCAATTTCCACAGTAGGTCTCAATGCATTCACAAATGCACCTTTGCAGATTCTACAAGGCAGTGTTTCCAAACTGTTCCATCAAAAGAATGACTAAACTCTGTGAGATGAATGCACACATCTGAAAGCAGTTTCTCATAATGGTTCTTTCCAGTTTTATTGGAAGATATTTCCTTTTTCACCATAGGCTTATTCTGCACTTCCAAATATTGGATCTCAGATTTTTGCAAAAACAGTGTTTCCATACAGCTCAATCAAAAGAAAAGTTTAACTCTGTCAGATGAATTCACACATCACAAAGCTGTTTCTCAAAAAGCTTCTATCTAGTTTTTATCTGAAGATATTTCCTTTTTCCACTATAGGCTGCAAAGCGCTCCTAAATATCCCTAAGCAGAGTCTATAAAAAGTGTTTCCGGACTGTTCCATGAAAAGAAGGATTTAACTCTGTGAGATAAAGGCACACATCAGAGAGCAGTTCCTCATAATGCTTCTTTCCAGTTTTTATCTGAAGATATTTCTTTGTTCACCATAGGCATTTTTGCACTGTGTATTATTGCTTTGCACATTTTGCAAAAACAGTGTTTCTGAACTGCTCTGTCAAAAGAAAGGTTTAACTCTGTAAGAGGAATGCACACATTTTGGAGCAGTTTCTCAAAAAGCTTCTTTCCAGTTTTTATCCCAAGGTATTTCATTATTAACCATAGGATTCCATGTGCTCCCAAATATGCCATTGCAGATTCTAGAGAAACCGTGTTTCCAAGCTGCTCAATCAAAAAACAGGTTTAACTATGGGAGTTGAACACAGACATAACAAAGCAGCTTCACATAAAACTTCTTTCTAGTTTTTATCTGAAGATATTTCCTTTTTCACCGTAAGCCTCATTGCTCTCCCAAATATCCCTTCACAGATTCTACAAAAACAGTGTTTCCAAACTGTCCCATCAAAAGAAGGAGTTAACTCTGTGAGATGAATGCACACATCAGTAAGAAATCTCTCATAGAGCTTTTTTCCAGGTTTTATCAAGATATTTCCTTGCTCACCATAGGCTTTTTTGGGGCTAACTAATATCGCTTTGCAGAATTTGCAAAAACAGTGTTTCCAAACTCTCAGTCAAAAGGAAGGTTTAACATTGTAAAATGAATACACACATCACAAAGCAGTTTCTGAAAAAGCTTATCTCTAGTTTTAATCTGAAAAATTTCCTTTTTCACCATAGGCCTATCTGCGTTTTCAAATATCCCATTGCAGATTCTACAAAAGCAGTGTTTCCAAACTCCTCAATCAAAAAACAGGTTTAACTATGAGAGTTGAATGCACACATCACAAAGCAGTTTCTCAAAAAGCTTCTTTCAGGTTTTATCTGAAGATATTTCCATTTTCACAATAGGCCTTGGTGTACTCCCAAATATATCTTTGCAGATTCTACAAAAATAGTGTTTCCAAACTGTCCCATCAAAAGAAGGATTTAACTCTGTGAGATGATCAAACACATCAGAAATCAGTTTCTATTAACACTACTTTCCATTTTTATCTGAAGATATTTCATTGTTCTCCATAGGAATTTTTGTGCTACCTAACACAGATTATGGAAAAATAGTGTTTCCAAACTTCTCAGTCAAAAGAAAAATTCAACTATGTGAGAAGAATGCAGACATCATGAAGCAGTTTCTCAAAGAGCTTGTTTCTAGTCTTTATCCAAAGATATTTCCTTTTTCACCATAGGCATAATTGTACTCCCTAATATCCCTTTGCAGATCCTACAAAAATAGTTTTTCCGAACTGCTCAATCAATAGAAACGTTTAACTCTGTGAGAAGAATGCCCACATCACAAAGCACTTTCTCAGATAGCTTCTGTCTTGTTCTTCTCTGAAGATATTTATCTTTCTACCATAGGACTCAATGCACTCCCAAATATCCTTTCACAGTTTCTACAAAAACAGTCTTTCCTAACTGTTCCAATAAAAGCAGGACTTAACTCTGTGAGATGCATGCACACATCAGATAGCAGTTTCTCATAATGCTTCTTTCCAGTTTTTATCTGAAGATATTTCCTTTTTCACCATAGGCTTTTTTGTGCTATGTAATATTGCTTCACAGGTTTTGTAAAAACAGTGTTTCCAAACTGTTCCATCAAAAAAAGGACTTCAGTCTGTGAGACGAACGTACACATCAGTAAGCAGTTTCTCTTAACACTCCTTTCCAGTTTTTATCTGAATATATTTCCTTTTTAACCGCTGGCTTTTTTGCACCACTTAATATCACTTCACAGGTTATACAAAAACAGTGTTTCCAAACTCTTCATTCAAAAGAAAGTTTTCCCCTCTGAGATGAAGGCACACATCTCAAAGCAATTTCTCAAAAATTATTTCTACTTTTTATCCAAAGATATTTTCTTTTTCATCATTGGCCTAACAGTGCTTTCAAATGTCCCATTGCAGATTCTATAAAAGCAGTGTTTCCAAACTGCTCAATAAAAAGAAAGGTTTAAATCTATGAGAAGAATGCACACATCAGCAAGCTATTTCTCAGAAATCTTCTCTGCAGTTTTCATTCAAAATTATTACCACAGGCCTCACTGTGCTCCCAAAAATCCCTTCATAGATTCTACCAAAACAGTTTTTCTAAATGGCTTAATCAAAAGAAATGATTAACTCTGTCACATGAGTGCACACATCACAGAGTAGTTTTTCAGAAAACTTCCTTCTTGTTTTTATCTGGAGTTATTTCGTTTTTCACCATAGGCCTCAATGTGCTCCAAAATAACCCTTCACAGATTCTGCAAAAAGGATGTTTCCAAATAGCTCCAATAAAGGAAAGATTTAACACTGTGAAGTGTATGCACACATCACAAATCACTGTCTCAGAAAGATTATTTACAGTTTTTATCTAAAGATGTTTCCTTTTTCACCATAGGCTCCTTCGTGCTACCTAATATAACTTCGCAGATTATAGAAAAACAGGGTTTTGAAACTGCTCTATCAAAAGAAATGTTCAACTCTGTGAGATGAATGCACACATCAGAAAGTAATTTCTGATAATGCTTCTTTCCAGTTTTTCTCTGAGGATATTTCCTTTTTTACCATAGGCTTTTTTGCACTACTTATATCCCTTTGCAGATTACACAATAACTGTGTTTCCAAACTGCTCTGTCAAAAGAAAGGTTTAACTCTTTGAGATGAATGCACATATCACAGAGCAGTTTCTCAAAAACCTTCTTTGTAGTTTTTATCTGAACATATTTCCTTTTTCACCACAGTCCTAACTGTGCTTTCAAATATCCCATTGCAGATTCTACAAAAACACTGTTTCCAAACTGCTCAATCAAAAGAATGGTTTAAATCTTTGAGAAGAATGCACACATCACAAACTGTTTCTCAGAAAGCTTCTTTGTAGTTTTTATCCAAAGTTAGTTATTTCCTTTTTCACCATTGGGTCAGTGCAATCCCAAATATCCTGTGTTAGATTCTACCAAAACAGTGATTCCAAACTGCTCAAACAAAGGAAAGGTCTAACTCTGTCAGATGAATGCACACATCAGAAAGTAGTTTCTCAGAAAGCTTCTTTTTAGTTCTTCTCTGATGACATTTCCTTTTTCATCAGAGGTCGCAATGTGCTCTCAAATATCTGTTTGTAGATTCTAGAAAAACACTTTTTCCAAACTACTCAATGAAAAAACAGGTTTAACTCTGTGAGTTGAATGCACACATCACAAAGCAGTTTCTCAAAAAGCTTCTTTTTACTTTTTATCCGAATACATTTTCTTTTTCACCCCAGGCCTCAATGCACTACAAAATATACGTTTTCAGATTCTCCAAAAATAATGTTTCCAAACTGGTCAATCAAGAGAAAAGTTTAACTCTGTGAAATGAATGCATACTTCACAAAGATATTTCTGAGATAGCTTCTATCTAGTTCTTCTCTGAAGATATTTCCTTTTCCACCATAAGCCTCAATGTGATCCCAAATATACCTTTACAAATTCTACAATAACAATGTTTCAAAAATGCTCAGTCAAAAGAAAGGTTTAACTCTGTGAGAAGAATGCACACATCACAAAGCACTTTCCCATATAGTTTCTCTATAGTTTCAATCTGAAGACATTTCCTTTTTCAACTTAGGCCTCAATGCACTCAAAAATATCCCTGCACTCAAAAATATCCCTTTAAAGATTTAACAAAAACATTGTTTCCAAACTTCTCAATCAAAATAAAGATTTAGCTCCATGAGCTGAGTGAACACATCACAAAGCAGTTTCTCAGAAAACTTCTGTTAGTTTTTTTCAGAAGACATTTCCTTTTCCACAATAGGTCTCAATCCACTCCCAAATATCCCTTCACTCGCAAACCCTACAACTACAGTGTTTTCAAACTGCTCAATCAAAAGAAAGCTTTAAATCTGTGAAATGAATGCATGTATGACAAAGCTGTCTCTCAGAAAGCTTCTTACTTGTTTTTATCTGAAGATATTTCCTTTATCACTATTGGCTTCAATGTGCTCCAAAATATCCCATCACAGATTCTGCAAAAGCAGTATTTCCAAACTGCTCAATCAAAAGAAAGCTTTAAATCTTTTAGATGAATGCAAACATCACAAAGAAGTTTCTCAAAAAACTTTTGTCTAGTTTTTTTCTAAAGGTATTTCCTTTCCAAACCTAGGCCTCAATGAACTCCCAAATAACCCTTCGCAGACCCTTCAAAAACAGTGTTTCCAAATTGCTCTAAAGAAAGGCTTAACTCTGTGAGATGAATGCTAACATCACAGAGAAGTTTCTCAGAAAGCTTCTTTCTAGTTGTTCTCTGATGATATTTCCTTTTTCACCCTTGGGCCAAAGGCACTGCTAAATATCCCTTTGCAGATCCCACAAATACAGTGTTTAAAAACTGCTCAATCAAAAGAAATGTTTAACTCTGTGAAATGAATGCACACATCACAAAGCAGTTTCTCAGAAAGCTTCTGTCTACTTCTCTGATGATATTTCCTTTTCCACCATAGGCCTTAATGGGCTTCCAAATATCCCTTTGCAGCTTCTACAAAAAACAGTGTTTCTGAACTGTTCCACCAAAAAAAGGATTTAACTCTGTGAGATGAAAGCACACATCAGAAAGCAGTTTCTCATGAAACTTCTTTCCAGTTTTTATCTGAAGATATTTCCTTGTTCACCATAGGCCTTTTTGCGCTACTTAACATCTCTTCGCAGATTATACACAAACTGTATTTCCAAACTGTTCTGTCAGATAAAAAGTTTAACTGTTTGAGATGAATGCATATATCACAAAGCAGTTTCTCAAAAAGGTTCTTTCTATTTTTTATCCACAGATATTCCTTTTTCAACATAGGCTTCAATGTGCTCCCAAATATCCCTTTGCAGATTCTAGAAAGACAGTGTTTCCAAACTGCTCAATAAAAAAAAGCTTAACTCTGTGAGATGTACACACTCATAACAAAGCAGCTTCTCAAAAAGCTTCTTTCTAGAAAATATCCGAAGATATTTCCTTTTTCATAATCGGCCTCAATATGCTCCAAAATACACCTTTGCAGATTCTACCAGAACAGTATTTCCAACTGCTCAATCAATATAAAGATTTAACTCTGGGAGAAGAATGAACACATAACAGAGCAGTTTCCAGAAATCTTCTCTCTAGTTTTTATGTAAAGATATTTGCTTTTTCAACATAGGCCTCCATCAGAGAATGGCAAATCAAAAGCACAAGGAGATACCATCTCACACCAGTTAGAATGGCAATCATTAAAAAGTCAGGAAACAACAGGTGCTGGAGAGGATGGGGAGAAATAAGAACACTTTTACACTGTTGGTGGGACTGTAAATTAGCTCAACCATTGTGGAAGTCAGTGTGGCAATTCCTCAGGGATCTAGATCTAGAAATACCATTTGATCCAGCCATCCCATTACTAGGTATATACCCAAAAGACTATAAATAATGCTGCTATAAAGACATATGCTCACTTATATTTATTGTGGCACTATTCACAATAGCAAAGACTTGGAACCAACCGAAATATCCAACAATGATAGACTGGATTAAGAAAATGTGGCACATATCCACCATGGAATACTATGCAGCCATAAAAAAGGATGAGTTCATGTCCTTTATAGGGACATGGATGAAATTGGAAATCATCATTCTCAGTAAACTATCACAAGGACAAAAAACCAAACACCACATGTTCTCACTCATAGGTGGGAATTGAACAATGGGAACACATGGACACAGGAAAGGGAACATCACACTATGAGGACTGTTGTGGAATGGGGGAGGGGGGAGGGATAGCATTAGGAGATATACCTAAAGCTAAATAACGAATTAATGGGTGCAGCACACCAGCATGGCACATGTATACATACATAACTAACATGCACATTGTGCACATGTACCCTAAAACTTAAAGTATAATAATAATAAAATAAAATTAAAAAAGAATACAAGATAAATACCAAAAAAAAAATAACATAGGCCTCAATGCACTGAAAAATATCCCTGTGCTCAAAAATATCCCTTCACAGATTCTAGAGAAACAGTGTTTCCAAACTTCTCCATCAAAAGAAAAGATGAACTCAGTGAGATGAGTGAACACATCACAAAGCAGTGTCTCAGAATGCTTCTTTCTAGTTTTTATCAGAAGATATTTCCTTTTTCATTGTAGGCTTCAATGAGCTCCCAAATTTCCCATTTTGCAGAATCTACAAAAAAAGTTTTTCCAAACTGCTCAATCAAAACAAAGGTTTAAATCTGTGAGATGAATGCAAACATCAAAAAGCAGTTACTCAAAAAATTTCTCTCTAGTTTTTATCTGAAGATATTTCTTTTTACATACTAGCCTTCAATGTGTGTCAAAATATCCCTTCTGTTATTCTACAAAAACAGTATTTCCAAACTGCTCAATAAAAGGAAAGGCTTAAATCTGTCAGATGAATGCAAACAATGCAAAGAATTTTCTCAGAAAGCTTCTTTCTAGTTCTTCTCTGATTATATTTCCTTTTTCACCATAGGCCTCAATGCGTTCCGAAATATTCCTTTGCAGATTCTACAAAAACAGTGTTTCCAAACTGCTGAATCAGAAAACAGGTTGACCTCTGTGAGTTTAATGTGCACATCTCAAAGCAGTTTCTCAAAAACTTCCTTGTAGTTCTTATCTGAAGATATTTCCTTTTTCACAATTGGCTTAAGTGCACTCCCAAATATACCCTTGCAGATTCTACAAAAACAGTGTTTCCAAATTGCTCAATCAAAAGAAAGTTTAATTCTGTGAAATGAATGCACACATCAAAGAGCAATTTCTCAGATAGCTTCTGTCTACTTCTTCTCTGAAGTTATTTCCTTTTCCACCATAGCCCTCTGTGTGCTCCTAAATATCCCTTCGGAGATTCTATAAAAACAGTATTTCTGAACTGTTCCATCAAAAGAAGGATTTAACTCTGTGAGATGATTGCACTCATCATAAAGCAGTTCCTCATAACACTTCTTTCCAGTTTTTATCTGAAGATATTTCCTTGTTCACCATACTCCTGTTGTGTGACCTGACATTGCTTCACAGATTATACAAAAACAGTGTTTCTAAACTGCTGAGTCAAAAGAAAAGGTCAAATATGTGAGATGAATGCATACATCACAAAGCGCTTTCTCAAAAGGCTTCTTTCTTGGTTTTCATCCGAAGATATTTCCTTTTACACCGTAGGCTTCAGTGCAAATTCAGTGAAATGTCCCTTTGCAGAATCTACAAATGCAGTATTTTCAAACTGCTCAATCAAAAGAAAGATTTAACTTTTTGAGAAGAATGCACACATCACAAAGCAGTTTCTCAGAAAGCTGCTCTCTAGTTTTTATCTGTAGATATTTCCTTTTTCAACATAGGCCTCAAAGTGCTCAAAAATATTCCTGGGCTAACAAATATCCCTTTGCTGATTCTACCAAAACAGTGTTTCCAAAGAGACCAATGAAAAGAAAGGGTTAATGCTGTAAGATGAATGCACACATCACAAAGCAGTTTCTCAAAAAGCTTCTTTCTAGTTTTTATCTAAAGATATTTCCTTCTTCACCATAGGCTTTAATGCATCCCCAAATATGACTTCACAGATTCTACTAAAGCAGTGTTTCCAAACTGCTCCATCAAAAGAAAGTTTTAACTCTGTGAGACGAATGCACACATCACAAAGGAGTTTCTCAGGAAGCTTCTGTCTAGTTCTTCTCTGAAGATAATTCCTTTTCCAACATAGGCCTCAAAGCACTCCCAAATATCCCTTCACTGATTCTGCAAAAACAGTGTTTCCAAACTGTTCCATCAAAAGAAGGACTTAACTGTGTGAGACAAACACACACTTCAGAAAGCAGTTTCTCATAACACTTTTTTTCCAGTTTTTATCAGAAGCTATTTCCTTGTTCACCATAGGCCTTTTTGCACTACCTAATATCACTTTGCAGATTATACAAAGAAACAGGGTTTCCAAACTACTCAGGCAAAAGAAAAGTTTAACTCTGTGAGATGAGTGCATACATCACAAAGCACTATCTCAAAATCTTCTTTCTAGTTTTTTTCCCAAGATATTTCCTTTGTCACCATAGGCATCAGTGCACTTGCAAAAATCCCTTTGCAGATTCTACAAAAACAGTTTTTCCAAAGTGCTCTATCAAAAGAAACGTTTAAGTGTGTGAAAAGAATGCACACATCACAAAATGGTTTCTCATAAAGCTTCTTTCTAGTTTTTATCTGAAGTTATTTTCTTTTTCACCACAGGCCTCAAGCACTCCAAAATATCCCTTCTCAGATTTCTACAAAAACATTGTTTCCAAACTGATCAATTAAAGGAAAAATTTAACTCTGTGAGATGAATGCACACATAGCAAAGCAGTTTGTCAAAAAGTTTCTCTCTTCTTTTTATCTGAAGATATTTCCTTTTTCACCATAGGCTTCAATGCACTCCCAAATATCCCTTCGCAGATTCTACAAAAACAGTGTTTCAAAACTGCCCAATCAACAGAAAGGTTTAACTGTGTGAGATGAATTCAGGCATCACAAAGCAGTTTATCAGAATGTTTCTGTCTAGTTATTATCTGAAGATATTTCCTTTTCCACCATAGGCCTCAATGAGCTCCCAATCTCCCTTCGAAGATTCTACAAAAACAGTGTCTCTAACTGATCCATCAAAAGGAAGACTTAACTCTATGAGATTAATGCACACATCAGAAAGCAGTTTCTCATAATGCTTCTTCACAGATTTTATCTAAAGATATTTCCTTGTTCATGATAGCCTTCTTTGTGCTACCAAATATTGCTTCACAGATTTTGCAAAAACAGTGTTTCCAAACTGCTCAGTCAAAAGAAAGTTTAACTCTGTAAGATGAATGCATACATCACAAAGCAGTTACTCAAAAATCTTCTTTCTAGTTTTCATCTGAAGATATTTCCTTTTTTGCCATAGTCATCAGTGTATTCCCAAATATCCCTTTGCAGATTATACAAAAAGAGTGTTTGCAAACTACTCAATCAAAAGAAACGTTTAACACTGTAAGAAGAATACAAAAATCACAAAGCAGTTTCTAAGAAACCTTCTTTCTGGTTTTTATCCGAAATTATTTAATTTTTCAGCATAGACCTCATGCACTCCCTAATATCCCATTGCAGATTCTAGAAAAACAATGTTTCCAAACTGATCAATCAAAAGAAAGTGTCAACTCTGTGAGATGAATACACACATCATAAAGCCGTTTCTCAGAAAGCTTCTTTCTAGTTTTTATCCAAAAGCATTTCCTTTTTCACCATAGGCTTTAATGTGCTCCCAAATATCCCTTTGCAGATTCTACAAAAACAGTGTTTACAAACTGCTCAATCAAAAGTTTCAACTCTGTGAGATGAATGTACACATCACAAAGCAGTTTCTTTTTTCTTTTCTTTTTTTTGAGATGGAGTTTCGCTCTGTTGCCCAGGCTGGAGTGCAGTGGCCCGAGCTCAGATCACTGCAAGCTTCACCTCCTGGTTTCTCACCATTCTCCTGCCTCATCCTCCTGAATAGCTGGGACTACAGGTGCCTGCTACCATGCCCAGCTAATCTTTTGTATTTTTAATAGAGATGGGGTTTCACCATGTTAGCCACGATGGTCTCGATCTCCTGACCTTGTGATCCACTTGTCTCGGCCTCCCAAAGTGCTGGGATTACAGGCATGAGCCACTGCACCTGGCCACAAAGCTTCCATCTAGTTCTTCTCTAAAGATATTTTCTTTTCCACCATAGGCCTCAATGTGCTCCCAGGTATCCCTTCACAGATTCTACAAATACAGTGTTTCCAAACAGTTCCATCAAAGGACTTACCTCTGTGAGATGAATGCACACATCAGAAAGCAGTTTCTCATAACCTTTCTTCCAAGTTTTTATCTGAAGATATTTACATGTTCACCATAGGCTTTTTTGCGCTACCAAATATTTCTTAGCAGATTTTGCAAAAACAGTATTTCCAAAAGCCTCAGTCAAAAGAAGGGTTTAACACTGTGAGATAAATGCACACATCACAAAGCAGTCTCTCAAAAAGCTTCCTTCTAGTTTTTATGTGAAGATGTTTCCTTTATCACCATAGGATTCAATGCGCTCCCAAATATCCCATCGCAGATTCTACGAAAACAGTGTTTCAAAGCTGCTCAATCAAAAAACAGGTTTAACTCTGTGAGTTCAATGCACACATCACAAAGCAGTTTCTCAAAAAGTTTCTTTCTAGTTTTTATCTGAAGATGCGGCCTTTTTCACCATAGGCCTCAGTGTGCTCCCAAATATCCCTTTGCAGATTATACAAAAACAGTGTTTCCAAAGTGCTCAGTCAAAAGAAAGGTTTAACCATGTCGGATGACTGCTCACATCATAAGGCAGTTTCCCAGATAGTTTCTGTCTAGTTCTTCTCTGAAGATATTTCCTTTTTCACCATAGTCCTAACTATGCTTTCAAATATCCCATTGTAGATTCTAAAAAACAGTGTTTCCAAACTGCTCAATCAAAAGAAGGTTTAAATCTGTGTGAAGAAAGCACACATCACAATGGGGTTTCTCGAAACTTCTTTGTAGTTTCTACCCGAATTTATTTAGCTTTTCATCATTGGCCTCAGTGTGCTCCCAAGTATCCCTTCACAGATTCTACCAACAGAGTGTTTCCAAACTGCTCAGCCAAAAGAAATGTTTAACTCTGTGAGATGAATGTGCACATCACAGAGTAGTTTCTCTGAAAGCTGCTTCCTAGTTTTTATCTGGAGATATTTCCTTTTTCACTGTAGGCCTCAATGTGCTTCAAAATAACCCTTCGCAGATTCTGCCAAAAGGGTGTTTTCAAATGGCTCCACCAAAGGAAAGTTTAACACTGTGAAATCAATGCACACATCACAAATCAGTGTCTCAGAAAGCTTCTTTCCAATATCTATCTGAAGATATTTCCTTTTTCACTATAGGCCTGTTTGGCTACCTGATATAACTTTGCAGATTATAGAAAAATAGTTTAACTCTGTGAGATAAATGTGCACATCACAATGCAGTTTCTCAAAAAAGCTTCCTTCTAGTTTTTATGCAAAGATATTTCCTTTATCACCATAGTCTTCAATGCGCTTCCAAATATCCCATCACAGATTCTACAAAAATAGTGTTTTCAAGCTGCTCAATCAAATAAGAGGTTTAACTCTGTGAGTTGAGCACACGCATCACAAAGAACTTTCTCAAAAAGCATCTTTCTAGTTTTTATCTGAAGATATTTGCCTTTTCACCATATGCCTGAAAGCATTCAAAAATATGCCTTTGCAGATTCTACACATAGTGTTTCCAACTGCTCCTTAAAAAGAAAGTTTTACTTCTCTAAGATGAATGCACACATCACATACTAGTTTCTCAGAAAGCTTCTTTCTCGTTTTTCTCTGAAGATATTTCTTTTCACCATCAACCTCAATGTGCTCCCAAAAATCCCTTCTCAGATTCTACAAAAACAGTGTTTCCAAGCTGCTCCATAAAAGCAAAGTTTTAAATATGTGAGGTGAATGCACACTTCACAAAGCAGTTTCTCACAAAACTTCTTTCTAGTTTTTATCTGAAGGCATTTCCCTTTTTATCATAGGTCTCAAGGTGCTCCAAAATATACGTTTGCAAATATTATAAACACAGTGTTTCCAAACTTCTCCATCAAACGAAAGATTTTACTCTATGAGATGATTGCAAATATCTTTGCAATATCTTTGCACACATCACAAAGCAGTTTCTCACAAAGCTTTTTTTCAGTTTTTATCTGAAGATATTTCCTTATTCAACATTGGCCTCAATGAGCTCCCAAATATCCCTACACTGATCCAACAAAAACAATGTTTACAAGCTGCTCCACATAAATAAATGTTTAATTCTGTGAGAAGAAAACACACAACACAAAGCAGTTTCTCAGAACGCTTCTGTCTACTTTTTGTGTGAAGTAATTTCCGTTTTCACCATAAGACTGGAAGTGCCTCCAAATATGCCTCCGCAGATTCTACAAATACAGTGCTTCCAAACTGCTCCTTCAAAAGAAAACTTTAACTCTGTGAGATGAATGTCCACTTCACAAAGCAGTTTCTCAGAAAGTTTATTTCTAGTTTTTCTCTGAACATATTTCCTTTTTCACAATAGGCTTCAATGCACTCCAGAGTATCCCTTTGCAGGTTCTACAAAAACAGTGTTTCCAAGCTGCTCCACCAAAAGTAAGGATTAAATCTGTCACATGAATGCACGCATCACAAAGCAGTTTCTCAGAAAGCTTCATTCTAGTTTTTATGTAAATGTATTTCCTTTTTCACGATAGGCCCCAATGCACTCCAAAATATCCCTTCACAGTTTAAAAAAAAAAAACACGGTTAACAAACAGCACCATCAAAAGAATGGTTTAACTCTGTGAGACGAATGCACACATCACAAAGTAGTTTCTCAGAAAGCTTCTTTCTAGATTTATCTGAAGATATTTCTTTTCACCATAGGCCTCAATGGACTCCTAAATATCCCTTTGCAGATACTACAAAAACAGTGTTTCCAAAATGCTCCACCAAAGGAAAGGTTTAACTCTGTGAGGTGAAAGCACACATCACAAAAGTTTCTCAGAAAGCTTCTATCTAGTTTTTCCTGAAGTTATTTCCCTTTTCACCATAGTTCTGAAAGCGCTCCAAAATATGGCTTCACAGATTCTACAAATACAGAGTTTTCAAACTGATCTTTCAAAGGAAAGGTTTAACTCTGTGATCTGAATGGACATATCACAAAGCAGTTTCTCAGAAAGATTCTTTCTAGTTTTTCTCAGAAGATATTTCCCTTTTCACAATAGAACTCAATGTGCACAGAAGAATCCCTTCATAGATCCTACAAATCCAGTGTTTCCAAGCTGCTCCATTAAAAGAAAGCTTTAACTCAGTGAGTTGAAAGAACACATCACAAAGCAGTTTCTCAGAAAGCTTCATTCAAGTTTTAGTCTAAAGATATTTCCTTTTTCACCATAGGCCTCAATGTGCTCTGAAATATCCCTTTGCTGTTTCTACAAAAACAGACTCAACAAACTGCCACATCAAAAAAAAGATTTACCTCTGTGAGATGAATGCACACATCACAATGTAGGTTTTCAGAAATTATCTTTTTAGTTTTTCTCTGGGGATATTTATTTTTCAACACAGGACTCAATGCACTCCCAAATATCCCTTCACTGATTATACAAAAACAGGGTTTACAAACTACTCTATCAAAAGAAAGGTTTAACTCTGTGAGATGAAAGCACACATCAAAAAACAGTTTCTCAGAAAGCTTCTGTCTAGTGTTTATCTGAAGGTATTTCCTTTTCACCATAGGCCTGAAACCATTCCCAAATATACCTTTGCAGATTGTAAAAATACACCGTTTTCAAACTACTCCTTCAAAGGTAACATTTAATTCTGTGAGATGAATGGACACATTACAAAGAAGTATCTCAGAAAGCTTCTTTCTAGTTTTTCTGTGAAGATATTTCCCTTTTCATCACAGGCCTTAATGCACTCCCAAATATCCCTTTGCAGATTGTATAAAAACACTGATTCCAAAGTGCTCCATCAAAAGAAAGGTTTAAATCTGTGAGATGAGTGCACACATCATAAAGCAGTTTCTCACAGGGCTTCTTTCTAGTTTCTCCCTGAAGATATTTCCTTTTTCACAAAAGTCCTCAATGCACTCCCAAATATCTCCATGCACATGCCACAAATAAAGTGTTTCCAAACTGCTCCATCAAAAGAAAGGTTTAAATCTGTCAGATGAATGCTCACATCACAAAGCAGTTTCTTAGAAAGCTTCATTCTAGTTTTTGTCTAGAGATATCTCCATTTTCACAGTAGGCCTAAATGCACTCTGAAATATCCCTTCACAGTTTATACAAAAAAAGGGTTTACAAACAGCTCCATCAAAAGAAAGGTTTAACTCCAGGAGACGAATGCACACATCACAAAGTAGTTTCTCAAAAGGTTCTTTCTAGTTTTTCTCTGTAGATATTTCCTTTTCACCATAGAACTCAAAGCTCTCCAAAATATCCATTCGCAGATTACACAAAAACCATGTTTACAAGCTGCTCCATCAAAAGAAATGTTTAACTCTGTGAGGTGAATGCACACATCATAGAATAGTTTCTCAGAAAGCTTCTTTCTAGATTTATCTGAAAATATATCTTTTCACCATAGGCCTCAAGGCACTCCCAAATATCCCTTCACAGATTCAATGAAAACATTGTTTCCAAACAGCTCCACCAAAAGAAAGGTTTATCTCTGTGAGGTGAAAACACACATCACAAACCAGTTTCTCAGAAAGTTTCTATCTAGTTTATATCTGAAGTTATTTCCCTTTTCCCTATAGGCCTGAAAGTGCTCCCAAATACATCTTCACAGATTGTACAAATACAGAGTTTTTAAACTGCTCCTTCAAAGGAAAGGTTTCGCTCTCTGAGATGAATGCACACATCACAAAATAGTTTCTCAGAAAGCTTCTTTCTAGATTTAGCTAAAGATTTTTCTTTTCACCATAGGCTTTAATGAGTTCCCATATGTTCCTTCACAGATTCTATGAAAAGAGTGTTTCCAAACTGCCACACGAAAAGATAGGTTTAAATCTGATAGATGAAAGCACAAATCACAAAGTAGTTTCTCAGAAAGCTTCTTTTTAGTTTTCTGTCAAGATATTTATTTTCACCATAGGCCTCAATGAGCTCCCAAATATCCCTTCACAGATTCTACAAAAACAGTGTTTCCAAACTGCCCCACCAAAAAAAAGGTTTAACTCAGTGAGATAAAAGCACACATCACAAAGCAGATTCTCAGAAAGCTTCTGTCAAGTTTCTCTCTGATGACAGTTCTCTTTTCACCAAGAGCCTTAATGTGCTCCCAAATATCCCTTTGCAGATTCTACAAAAACAATGATTCCAAACTGCTCCATCAATATAAAGGTTTAGCTATGTGAGATGAATGGACACATAACAAAGCAGTTTCTCAGAAAGCTTCTTTCTAGTTTTTCTCTGAAAATATTTCATTTTTCACAACAGGCCCCCATCCGCTCCCAAATATCCCTTTGCAGATTCTAAAAATACAGTATTTCCAAACTGCTCGATCAAAAGTAAGGTTTAACTCAGTGAGATGAATGGACTCATCACAAAGCAGTTTCTCAAAATGCTTAATGCTACTTTTTTCTACAGATATTTCCCATAGGCCTCAATACATGCAGAAATATCTGTTTGCTGTTGACACAAAGACAGAGTTTACAAACATCTCCATCAAAAAAAAGGTTTAACTCTGTGAGATGAATGCGAACATCACTAAGTAGTTTCTCAGAAAGTTTATTTCTAGTTTTTCTCTGAAGATATTTCATTTTCACCATAGGACTCAAAGCTCTCCCAAACACCCATTCGCAGGTTAGACAAAAACAGGGTTAACAAACTGCTCCATCAAAGGGACATTTTAACTCACTGAGATGAATGCACATATCATGAAGTGGTTTCTCAGAGAGCTTCTTTCTAGATTTATCTGAAGATATTTCTTTTCACCTTTGACTTCAATGCGCTCCCAAGTGTCCCTTCGCTGATCACACAAAAACAATGTTTCCAAGCTGCTACACCAAAACAAAAGTTTAAATCTGTGAGATGAAAGCACACATCATAAAGCAGTTTCACAGAAAGCTTCTGTCTAGTTTTTATCTGAAGATATTTCCCTTTTCACAATAGGCCTAAAACCACTCCCAAGTATGGCTTCACAGATTCTGCAAACACAGTGTTTTCAAACTGCTCATTCAAAGGAATGTTTAAACTCTGTGAGATGAATGGACACATCACAAGCAGTTTCTCAGAAAGCTTCCTTCTAATTTTTCTCTGGAGATATTTATCGTTTCACCACAGGCTTTAATGCACTCCCAAATATCCATTCCCAAATACTACAAAAACAATGTTTCCAAACTGCTCCATTAAAAGAACAGTTTAACTCAGTGACATGAATGTACACATCACAAAGCAGTTTCACAGAAAGCTTCATTCTAGTTTTTGTCTAAAGATATTTCCCTTTTCACTGAAGGCCTCAAAGTGCTTCGAAATATACCTTCACCATTTTTACAAAAATAGGCTTAACAAATGGCTGCATCAAAAGAACGGTTTAACTCTGTGAGATGAATGCACACTTTACAAAGTAGTTTCTAAGAAAGCGTCTGTCTAGTGTTTATCTGAAGATATTTTCCTTTTCACTGTAGACTTGAAAACACTCTCAAATATGGCTTTGCAGATTCTACAAATACAGTGTTTTCTAAGTCTTCCTTCAAAGGAAAGTTTTAACTCTGTGAGATGAAGGACCCAGCTCAAAGCAGTTTCTCAGACACCTTCTTTCTAGTTTTTCTCTGAAGATATTTCTCTTTTCACTGCAGGCCTTAATGTGCTCCCAAATATCCCTTTGCTGATTCTACAAAAACAGTGATTCCAAACTGCTCTATCAAAAGAAATGTTTAACTCTGTTTTTCTCTGAAGATATTTCCTTTTTCAAAATAGGCCTCAAGCACTCTGAAATATCACTTCACAGATTCTACAAAAACGGTGTTTACAAACTACTCCATCAAAAGAAATCTTTAACTCTATGAGATGAAAGCACACATCACAAAGCAGTTTCTCAGAAAGCTTCTATCTAGTGTTTATCTGGACATATTTCCCTTTTCACCATAGGCCTGAAAGCACTACCAAATGTGGCTTTGCAGATTCTACAAATACAGTGTTTTCAAACTGTTCCTTCAAAGGAAAGGATTAACTCTGTGAAATGAATGTGTACATCACAAAGCAGTTTCTCAGAAAGCTTCTGTCTAGTTTTTACGTGAAGATACTTCCTTTTTCCCCATAGGTCTCATACCGCTCACAAATATCCCTTTGCAGATAATACAAAAAGACTGTTTCCAAACTGCTCAATCAAAAGAAAGGTTCAACTTTGTGAGATGAATGCAAACATCACAAAGAGGTCTCTCAGAAAGCTTCTGTCTAGTTTTTATGTGAAGATATGTTCTTTTTCTCCATAGGCCTCAAACTGCTCACAAATATCCCTTTGCAGATTCTCCATAAAGACTGTTTCCAAACTGTTGCAGCAAAAGAAATGTTTATCTCCGTGAGATGAATGCACACATCACAAAGCTGTTTCTCAGAATGCTTCATTATAGTTTTATTCTAAAGATACTTCCATTTTCATCATAGGCCTCAATGTGCTCTGAAATATCACTTCGCGGTTTATAAAGAAACAGGGTTAAGAAACTGCTCCATCAAAAGAAATGTTAAACTCTGTGAGATAAATTCGCAAGTCACAGAGTAATTTCACAGAAAGTTTCTTTCTAGTTTTTCTCTGAAGATATTTCCTTTTCACCCTAGGACTCAATGAGCTCCCAAAAGTCACTTGGCCGATTATACAAAAACAGAGTCTACAAACTACTCCATCAAAAGAAAGGTTTAATTCTTTGAGATGAAAGCACACATCACAGAACAGGTTCTCAGAAAATTTCAGCCTAGTTTTCATCCGAAGATATTTCCCTTTTCACCATAGGCATGAAAGCGTTCCCAAATATGGCTTTGCAGATTGTGCAAATACAATGTTTTCAAACTGCTCCTTCAAAGGAAATGTTTAACTCTGTGAAATGAAGGGACACATAGGAAAGCAGTTTCTCAGAAAGCTCCTTTCTAGTTTTTCTTTGAAGATATTTCTCCTTCCACCACAGGCCTTAAGGTGCTCCCAAATATCCCTTTGCAGATTCTACAAAAACAGTGACTCCAAACTGCTCCAACAAAAGGAAGCTTTAACTCTGTGAGATGAATGCACACATTTAAAAGAAGTTTCTCAGAAAGCTTCATTCTAGTTTTTGTCTGAAGATATTTCCATGTTGACTGTAGGCCTCAAAGTGCTCTGAAATATCCCTTCACCATGTATACAAAAATAAGTGGAACAAACTGCTCCATCAAAAGAATGGTTTAACTCTGTGAGATGAATGCACACAACACAAAGAAGTTTCTCAGAAAGCCTCTGACTAGTGTTTATCTGAAGATATTTCCCTTTTCACCATAGGTTTGAAAGCGCTCCCAAATACGGCTTCACAGATTCTACAAATACAAAGTTTTCAAAGTCCTCCTTCAAAGGAAACATTTAACGCTGTGAGGTCAACAGACACATCTCCAAGCAGTTTCTCAGAAAGCTGCTTTCTAGTTTTACTGTCAAGATATTTCTCTTTTCACCACAGGCCTTAATGCGATAGCAAATATCCCTTTGCAGATTGTACAAAAACAATGATTCCAAACTGTTCCATCAAAAGAAACGTTTAACCCTGTGAGTTGAATGCACACATCGCAAAGCAGTTTCTCAGAAAGCTTCTTTCTAATTTTTCTCTTAAGATATTTTGTTTCTCACAATGGGCCCCAAAGCACTCTTATATATCCTTTGGGGATTCTACAAATACAGTGTTTCCAAATTGCTCCATTAAAAGAAAGTTTTATCTCAGTGAGATGAGTGCACACAACACAAAGCAGTTTCTCAGAAAGTTTTATTCTAGTTTTTGTCTCAGGATATTTCCATTTTCACGGTTGGCCTCAATGTTTTCCGAAATATCCTTCGTCATTTATACAAAAACAGGCTTAACAAACTGCTCCATCAAAGAAAGGTTTAGCTCTGTGAGATGAATGCACAAATCACAAAGTAGTTTCTCAGAAAGTTTCTTTCTAGTTTCTCTCTGAAGATATTTCCTTTTCACCATAGGACTCAATGAACACTGAAATGTCCCTTCACCGATTATACGAAAAAGTGTTTACAAACTACTCCATCAAAAGAAAGGTTTAATTCTGTGAGATGAAAGCACACATTACAAAGGAGTTTCTAAGAAAGCTTCTGTCTAGTGTTTATCTGAAGATATTTCCCCTTTTCACCATAGGCCAGAAAGTGCTCTCAAATATAGCTTCGCAGTTTCTACAAATACAGTGTTTTCAAACTGTTCCTTCAAAGGAACAGTTTAACTCTGTGAAATGAATGGACACATCAGAAAGCAGTTTCTCAGGAACTTTCTTTCTAGTTTTTCTCTGAAGATATTTCTCTTTTCACCACAGGCCTTAATGTGCTCCCAAATATCCCTTCACAGATTCAAGAAAACAGTGATTGCAAACTGCTGAATCAAAAAAAAAGTTTTAACTCTGTGAGATAAATGCACACATCACAAAGCAGTTTCTCAGAAAACTTCCTTTTAGTTTGTATCAGAAGATATTTCCTTTTTCAACACAGGCCTCCATGCGAATCCAAATATCCCTTCACAGATTCTTCAAATACTGGGTTTCCAAATTGCTCAATCAAAAGAATGCTTAAACTCTCTGAGATGAATGCACACATCATAAAGCAGTTTCTCAGAAACTTTCTTTCTAGTTTGTATCGGAAGGTATTTCCTTTTTCACCATAGGCCTCAATGCACTCCCAAATATCACGTTGCAGATTCTAGAAGAAGAGACTTTCCAAACTGCTCAATGAAAAGAGACGTTTAATTCTGTGAGATGAATGCACACATCACAAGGAAGTTTCTCAGAAAGCTTCTATCTAGTTCGTCTCAGAAGATGTTTCCTTTATCACCACAGGCCTCAAGGAGAATCCAAATATCCCTTAGCAGATTCTACAAACACTGTTTTTCCAAACTGCTCAATCAAAAGAAGGGTTTATCTGTGTGAGAATGCACAGATAACAAAGCAGTTTCTAAGAAAGCTCCTTTTTAGTTTTTATGTAAGGATATTTCCTTTTTCACCACAGTCCTCAAAGGGCTCAGAAATATCCCTTTGCAGATATTAAAAAAAATGGTTTCTAACTGCTCAATCAAAAGAATTGTTCAACTCTGTTAGTGGAGAACACACATCGCAAAACAGTTTCTCAATGAGCTTCTTTCTAGTTTTTATTTTAAGATATTTCTTTTTTCACCATAGTCCTCAAAGAGCTCCATTGTATCTCTTTGCAGATTCTACAAAACAGTGTTTCCAAAATGCTCAATGAAAAGAAAGTTTTAACTTGGTGAGATGAATGCACATATCACAAAGTAGTTTTTCAGAAAGTTCCTTTCAAGTTTTTATGTGAGGATATTTCTTCTTTCACCATAAGACTCAAAGGGCTCCAAAATATACCTTTGCAGATCCTACAAAAGCAGTGGTTCAATACTGCTAAATCAATTCTGTGAAGAAAGTCATTGGTAGCTTGATGGGGATGTCATTGAATCTATAAATTACCTTGGGCAGTATGGCCATTTTCATGATATCGATTATTCCTGCCCATGAGCATGGAATGTTCTTCCATTTGTTTGTATCCTCTTTTATTTCAGTGAGCAGTGGTTTGAAGTTCTACTTGAAGAGGTCTTTCACATCCCTTGTAAGTTGGATTCCTAGGTATTTTATTCTCTTTGAAGCAGTTGTGGATTGGTGTTCACTCATGATTTGGCTCTCTGTCTGTTATTGGTGTATAAGAATTCTTGTGATTTTTGCACATTGATTTTGTATCCTGAGACTTTGCTGAAGTTGCTTATCAGCTTAAGGAGATTTTGGGTTGAGATGATGGGGTTTTCTAGATATACAATCATGTCATCTGCAAACAGGGACAATTTGGCTTCCTCTTTTCCTAACTGAATACCCTCTATTTTCATCTCCTGCCTGATTGCCCTGGCCAGAACTACCAACACTATGTTGAATAGGAGTAGTGAGAGAGGGTATCCCTGCCTTGTGCCAGTTTTCAAAGGGAATGTTTCCAGTTTTTGTCCATTCAGTATGATATTGGCTGTGGGTTTGTCATAGACAGCTCTTATCATTTTAAGATACGTCCCAGCAATACCTAATTTATTGAGAGTTTTTAGCATGAAGTGTTGTTGAATTATGTAAAAGGGCTTTTCTGCATCTATTGAGATAATCATGTGGTTTTTGTCTTTGGTTCTGCTTGTATACTGGATTACATTTATTGACTTTTTATGCTGAACCAGCCTTGCATCAAAAGGATGAAGCCCAATTTATCATGGTGGATAAGCTTTTTGATGTGCTGCTGGATTTGGTTTGCCAGTATTTTATTGAGGATTTTTACATCAATGTTCATCAAGGATATTCATCTAAAATTCTCTTTATTTGTTGTGTCTCTGCCAGGCTTTCATATGGAACCAAAAAAAAAGCCCACATTGACAAGTCCATCCTAAGCAAAAAGAACAAAGCTGGAGGCATCAAGCTATCTGACTTCAAACTATACTACAAGGCTACAGTAACCAAAACAGCATGATAATAGTACCAAAACAGAGATACAGACAAATGGAGCAGAACAGAGCCCTCAGAAATAATGCCACATATCAACAACTACCTGACCTTTGACAAACCTGAAAAAAAACAAACACTGGGGAAAGGATTCCCTATTTAATAAGTGGTGCTGGGAAAACTGGCTAGCCATATGTAGAAAGCTGAAACTGGATCCCTTCCTTACACCTTATACAAAAATTAATTCAAGATGGATTAAAGACTTAAAACTTCGACCTAAAACCATAAAAACCCTAGAAGAAAACCTAGGAAATACCATTCAGGACATAGGCATGGGCAAGGACTTCATGTCTAAAACACCAAAAGCAATGGCAACAAAAGCAACAATTGACAAATGGGATCTGATTAAACTAAAGACCTTTTGCACAGCAAAAGAAACTACCATCAGAGTGAACAGGCAACCTACAGAATGGGAGAAAATTTTTGCAACCTACTCATCTGGCAAATGGTTAATATCCAGAATCTACAATGAATTCAAACAAATTTACAAGAAAAAAAAACAAACAACCCCATCAAAAAGTAGTCAAAGGATATGAACAGAAACTTCTCAAAAGAAGACATTTAAGCAGCCAAAAAACACATGAAAAAATATTCATCATCACTGGCCGTCAGAGAAATGCAAATCAAAACCACAATGAGATACCATCTCACACCAGTTAGAATGGTGATCATTAAAAAGTCAGGAAATAACAGGTGCTGGAGAGGATGTGGAGAAATAGGTATGCTTTTACACTGTTGGTGGGACTGTAAACTAGCTCAAGCATTGTGGAAGTCAGTGTGGTGATTCCTCAGGGATCTAGATCTAGAAATACCATTTGACCCAGCCATCCCATTACTGGGTATATACCCAAAGGATTATAAATCATGCTGCTATAAAGACACATGCACACATATGTTTATTGTGGCACTATGCACAATAGCAAGGACTTGGAACCAACCCAAATGTCCAATAACAATAAACTGGATTAAGAAAATGTGGCACATATACACAATGGAATACTATGCAGCCATAAAAAATGTTGAGTTCATGTCCTTTGTAGGGACATGGATGAAGCTGGAAACCATCATTCTCAGCAAACTATTGCAAGGACAAAAAACCAAACACTGCATGTTCTCATTCATAGGTGGGCATTGAACAAAGAGAACACATGGACACAGGAAGGGGAACATCACACACTGGGGACTGTTGAGGGGTGGGGGGAGTGGGGAGGGATAGCATTGGGAGATATACCTAATGCTAAATGATGAGTTAATGGGTGCATCACACCAACATGGCACATGTATGCATATGTAACAAAGCTGCACAGAAATATTTTCTGATATGTGAAAGCACATATCACAAAGCTGTTCCTCAGAAAGCTCCTTTCTAGTTTTTATGTGATGATATTTCCTTTTTCACCATAAGACTCAAAGTGCTCCAAAATATCCATTTGAAGGTTCTACAAGAACAGTGGTTCCAAACTGCTCAATCAAAAGAATGGTTCAACTCTGTGATGTGAATGCACACATCACAATGCATTTTCTCAGAAAGCTTCTGTCTAGTCTGTATGAGAAGATATTTCCTTTGTCACCATGGGTTTTAAGGCACATCCAATATCCCTTTGCAGATTCTACAAACACTAAGTTTCCAGACTACTCAATCAAAGTATTCTTTAACTCTGTGAGATGAATGCACGGATCACAAAGCAGTTTCAAAGAAAGTTCCTTTCTAGCTTTTATGGGAGGATATTTCCTTTTTCACCATAGGCCTCAAAGCACTCACAAATATCCCTTTTCAGATTCTAGAAAAACAGTGGTTCCAAACTACTCAATCAAAAGAATGGTTCAACTCTCTTAGAGGAATGAACACATCACAAAGCAGTTTCTCAGAAACCTTCTTTCTACTTTTTAAGTGAAGACATTTACCTTTTCACCATAGGCCTCAAAGTGCTCTCAAATATCCCTTTTGTAGATTCAAGAAAAACAGTTTTTCCAAAATGTTCAATCAAAGTTTTAACTCTGAGAGGTGAATGCACATATCACAAAGCAGTTTCTCAGTAGGCTCCTTTCTAGTTTTTCTCTAAGGATATTTACTTTTTCACCATAAGAATCAAAGGGCTCCAAAATATCCCTTTGCAGATTCTACAAAAACAGTGTTTCCAAACTGCTCCATCAAAAGAATGGTTCAACTCTGAGATGAATGCACATGTCACAAAGCAGTTTCTCAGAAAGCTTCTCTCTAGTTTATATTGAAAGATATTTTCCTTTTCACCACAGGCCTTCCTGCAAATCCATATACCCCTTCGCAAATTCTGCAAACACTCTTTCCAAACTCCTCAATGAAAAAAATGGTTAAAATCTTTGAGACGAATGCACACATCACACAGCAGTTTCTCAGAAACTTTCTTTCCAGTTTGTATTGGAAGATATTTTGTTTTTCACCATAGGCCTCATGGCTCTCCCAAATATCCATTTGAAGATTCCAGAAGAACAGAATTTCCAAACTGCTCTATGAAAAGAAACATTTAACTCTGTGAGTTGAATGCACACATCACAAAGCAGTTTCTCAGAATGCTTCTTTCTAAATTTTCTCTTAAGATATTTTGTTTCTGACAATGGGCCCCAAAGCAATCCTAAATATCCCTTCAAGGATTCTACAAATACAGTGTTTCCAAACTGCTCCATTAAAAGAAAAGTTTATCTCAGTGAGATGAATACACACATCACAAAGCAGTTTCCCAAAAAGCTTCATTCTACTTTTTGTCTCAGGATATTTCCATTTTCATGGTTGGCATCAATGTTTTCTGAAATATCCCTCGTTGTTTATATGAAAACAGACTTAACAAACTGATCCATGAAAGAAATGTTTAGCTTTGTGAGATGAATGCACAAATCACAGAGTAGTTTCTCAGAAAGTTTCTTTCTAGTTTTTCTCTGAAGATATTTCCTTTTCACCATAGGCCTCAAAGTGCTCATAAATAACCCCTTTCAGATTCTAGAACAACAGTGGTTCCAAACTTCTCAATCAAAAAAGTGGTTCAACTCTGTTAAGGGAATGCACACATCACAAAGGAGTTTCTCAGAAATATTCTTTCTAGTTTTTATGTGAAGATTTTTCCTTTTTTGCCATAGGCCTCAAAGTGCTCCCAAATATCCCATTGCAGATTCTACAAAAAGTTGATTCCAAAATGCTCCATCAAAAGAAAATTTTAACTCCATGAAATGAATGAACATATCACAAAGCAGTTTCTCAGAAGGCTCCTTTCTAGTTTTTATGGGAGGATGTTTCCTTTTTCACCCTAAGACCCAAAGGGCTACAAAATATCCCTTTGCAGATTCTACAAAAACAGTGGTTCCAAACTGCTCAATCAAAAGAATGGTTCAATTCTGTGAGATGAATGCACACATCACCAAGCAGTTTCTCAGAAAGTTTCTGTCTAGTTTTTATTGGAAGATATTTCCTTTTTCACCATAGGCCTCAAAGCACTCCCAAATATCCCATTGTAGATTCTACAAAAAATTGATTCCAAAATGCTCAATCAAAAGAAAGGTTTAACTCCATGAGATGAATGTACATATCACAAAGCAGTTTCTCAGAAGCTTCCTTTCTAGTTTTTATGTGAGGATATTTCCTTTTTCACCCTAAGACCCAAAGGGCTCCAAAATATCCCTTTGCAGATTCTACAAAAACAGTGGTTCCAAACTGCTCAATCAAAAGAATGGTTCAACTCTGTCAGATGAATGCACACATCACAAAGCAGTTTCTTAGAAAGTTTCTGTCTAGTTTTTATTGGAAGATATTTCCTTTTTCACCATAGGCCTCGAAACACTGACAAAAATCCCTTTGCAGATTCTACAAGAACAGAGTTTCCAAACTGCTCAATGAAAAGAAATGTTTACCTCTGTGAGATGAATGCACACATCACAAAGCAGTTTCTCAGAAAGATTCTTTCTAGTTTTTATGTGAGGATATTTCCTTTTTACAGGAGGCCTCAAAGCACTCACAAATATCCCTTTTGCAGGCCCTAGAAAAACAGTGGTTCCAAACTGCTCAATCAAGGGAACGATTCACCCTGTGAAATGAATGCACACATCACAAAGCAGTTTCTCTGAAAGGTTCTTTCTAGTTTTTAGGGGAAGATATTTCCTTTGTCACCATAGGCCTCAAAGTCCTTCCAAATATCCCTTTGCATATTCTACAAAAACTGTGGTTCCAAACTGCTCAATCAAAACAATGGTTAAACTCAGTGAGACAAATACACACATCACAAAGCAGTTTCTCAGAAAGTTTCTGTCTGGTTTCTGTTGGAAGATATTTCCTTTGTCACCATATGCCTCAAGGTGAATCCAAATATCCCTTCACAGATTCTACAAACACTTTTCTTCCAAACTGCTCAAAGGAAGCTTTTAACTATGTGAGATGAATGCACAGATTGCAAAGTAGTTTCTCAGAATGCTTCTTTCTAGTTTTTATGTGACGATATTTCCTTTTTCACTGTAGGCCTCAAAGCACTCCCAAATATCCCTCCACAAATTCTACAAAAACAGTGTTGCTAAAATGCTCAATCAAAAAAATTTTTAACTCTGTGAGATGAATGCACACATCACAAAGCAGTTTCTCAGAAAGCTTCTGTCTAGTTTCTATCAGAAGATATTTACTTTTTCACAACAGGTCTCCATGGGAATCCAAATATCCCTTCACAGATTTTACAAACACTGTGTTTCCAAAATGCTCAAACAAAAGAATGTTTAAACCCTGTGAGATGAATGCACACATCATAAAGCAATTTCTCAGAATCTTTCTTTCTGGTTTCTATTGGAAGGTATTCCCTTTTTCACCATAGGCCTTAATGCACTCCCAAATATCTTTTGCTGATTCTAGAATTACAGATTTTCCAAACTGCACAATGAAAAGAAAGGTTTACCTCTGAGAGATGAATGCACACATCAAAGTAGTTTCTCAGATAGCTGACATACAGTTTGTATCAGAAAATATTTCCTTTTTCACCATAGTCCTCAAGGTGAATCCAAATATCCCTACTCAGATTCTACAAACACTGTGTTTCCAAACTGCTCAAACAAAAGAATGGTTTAACTCTGTGAGACGAATGCATAGATCACAAAGCAGTTTCTAAGAAAGCTCCTTTCTAGTTTTTCTGTGAGGATGTTTCCTTTTACACCATAGGCCTCAAAGTGCTCACAAATATCTCTTTGCAGATTCTACAAAAACAGAGGTTCCAGACTGCCCAATCAAAAGCTTGGTTCAACTCTGTTAGAGGAATGCACACATCACAAGGTAGTTTCTAAGAGAGCCTCTACCTAGTTTTTATGTGAAGTTAATTCCTTACTCACCATAGGCCTCAAAGGGCTCCCAAATATCCATTTGCAGATTCTACAAAAACAGTGCTTCCAAAGTGCTCAATCAAAAGAATGGTTCAACTCTGTGAGATGAAGGCACACATCACAAAGCAGTTTCTCAGAAACTTTCTTTCTAGTTTGTATCGGAAGATATTTCCTTTTTCATCTTAGCTATCAGTGCTCTCCCAAATACCCCTTTTCAGACTCTAGAAGAACAGAGTTTCTATACCACTCAATGAAAAGAAGCATTTACCCCCATGAGATCAATGCACATATCACAAAGAAATTTCTCAGAAATCTTCTGTCTAATTTGTATCAGAAGATATTAGCTTTATCACCACAGGCCTCCATGTGAATCCAAATATCTGTTCACAGATTCTACAATCACTGTGTTTCCAAATTACTCAATCAAAGAATGGTTAAACTCTCTGAGATGTATCTGCACATCACAAAGCAATTTCTCAGAAACTTTCTCTCTAGTTTGTATTGGAAGATATTTCCTTTTTCACCCTAGGCCTCAATGTGCCCTAAAATATCCCTTTGCAGATTCTAGAATTACATAGTTTCCAATCTACTCAATAAAAAGAGACATTTACCTCTGTGAGATAAATGCACACATCACAGAGCAGTTTCTCTTAAAGCTTCTGTCTAGTTTGTATCAGAAGATATTTCCTTTGTCACCATAGGCCTGAAGGTGAATCCAAATATCCCTTCACAGATTCTACAAACACTATGTTCCCAAACTGCTCAATCAAAGGAATGGTTTAACTCTGTGAGATGATTGCACTGATCACAAAGCAGTTTCTAAGAAAGCTCCTTTCTAGCTTTTATGTAAGGATATTTCCTTTCTCACCATAGGCCTCAAAGCACTCAAAAATATCCCATTGCAGAGTCTAGAAAAACAGTGGTCAAAAGCTGCTCAATCAAAAGCATGGTTCAACTCTGTTAGAGGAATGCACACATCACAAAACAGTTTCTCAAAAAGCTTCTTCCTAGTTTTTGTGTGAAGATATTTCCTTTTTCACCATAAGTCTCAAAGCGCTCCCAAATATCCCTTTTCAGATTCCACAAAAACAGTGGGGCCAAAGTGCTCAATCAAAAGAATGGTTCGACTCTGTGAGAAGAATGCTCACATCAAAAAGCAGTTTCTCAGAAAGCTTCTGTCTAGTTTGTTTTGTAAGATATTTCCTTTTTCACCACTGGCCTCCATGGGAATCAAAATATCCCTCTCAGATTCTACAAACACTGTGTTTCCAAACTGCTGAATGAAAAGAATCTTTAAATTCTTTGAGATGAATGCACACATCCAAAGCAATTTCTCAGAAACTTTCTTTCTAGTTTCTATTGGGATATACACCTTTTCACCATAGGCCTCAATGCACTCCCAAATATCCCTTTTAAGATACTGGAAGAACAGAGTTTCCAAACTGCTCAATGAAAAGAAACGTTTAACTCTGTGAGATGAATGCACACATCACAAAGCAGTTTCTCGGAAAGCTTCTGCCTAGTTTGTCTCAGAAGATGTTTCCTTTTTCATCACAGGCCTCCATGCAAATCCAGATATCCCTTTGCAGATTCTACAAACACTTCGTTTCTAAACTGCTCAATCAAAACAATGGTTAAGCTCTGTGAGATGAATGCCTATATCACAAACCAATTTCTCAGAAAGTCTCTTTCTTGTTTGTATGGGAAGATATTTACTTTTTCACCATAGGGCTCAGTGTGCTCTCAAATATCCCTTTGCAGATTCTAGAAGAAGAGAGTTTCCAAAGTGCTCAGTGAAAACAAACTTTTAACTCTGTGAGATGAATTCACACACCACAAAGTAGTTTCTCAGAAAGCCTCTGTCCAGTTTGTATCAGAAGATATTTCCTTTGTCACCATATGCCTCAAGGTGAATACAAATATCCTTTTGCAGATTCTGCAAACACTCTTTCCAAACTGCTCTATCAAAAGAATGGTTTAAGTCAGTGAGATGAACACACAGATCACAAAACAGTTTCTAAGAAAGCTCCTTTCTAGTTTTTATGTGAGGATATTTCATTTTTTAACCATAAGACTCAAAGGATTCCAAAATATCCCTTTGCAGATTGTACAAAAACAGTGATTCCAAACTACTCCATCAAAAGAATGGTTCATCTCTGTAAGATGAATGCACACATCACAAAGCAGTCTCTCAGAAAGCTTCTGTTTAGTTTGTATTGGAAGATATTTCCTTTTTCACCACAGGCCTCCATGTGAATGCAAATATCCCTTTGTAGATTCTACAAACACTGTGTTTCCAAACTGTCAATGAAAAGAATGGTTAAACTTTGTGAGATGAATGCACACTTCAGAAAGCAATTTCTCAGACACTTTCTTTCTAGTTTGTATCAGAAGATATTTCATTTTTCACAATACGCATCAGTGTGCTCCCAAATATCCCTTTGCAGATTGTACAAAAACGGTGTTTCCAAAATGCTCAATCAAAAGAAAGTTTTATCTCTGTGTGATGAGTGCACATATCACAAATAAGTTTCTCAGAAAGTTCCTTTCTAGTTTTTAAGCCATCCTGTTACTGGGTATATACCCAAAGGACTATAAATCATGCTGCTATAAAGACACATGCACACGTATGTTTATTGTGGCATTATTAACAATAGCAAAGACTTGGAACCAACCCAAATGTCCAACAATGATAGACTGGATTAAGAAAATGTGGCACATATACACCATGGAATACTATGCAGCCATAAAAAATGATGAGTTCATGTCCTTTGTGGGGACATGGATGAAATTGGAAATCATCATTCTCAGTAAACTATCACAAGAACAAAAAACCAAACACCACATATTCTCACTCATAGGTGGGTATTGAACAATGAGATCACATGGACACAGGAAGGGGAATATCACGCTCAGGGGACTGTTGTGGGGTGGGAGGAAGGGGGAGGGATAGCATTGGGAGATATACCTAATGCTAGATGACGAGTTAGTGGGTGCAGCGCACCAGCATGGCACATGTATACATATGTAACTAACCTGCACAATGTGCACATGTACCCTAAAACTTAAAGTATAATAAAAAAAAGAAAAAATATTTCCTTTTTCACCATAATACTCCAAGGGCTCCCAAATATCCTTTGGAGATACCACAAAAACAGTGGTTCCAATCTGCTCCAACAAAAGAATTGTTCAACTTTGTGAGATGAATGCACACATGATAAAGCAGTCTCTCAGAAAGCTTCTGCTAGTTTGTATCAGAAGATATTTCCTTTGTTACCATAGGCCTCAAGGAGAATCCAAATATCCCTTCGCAGACTCTACAAACACTGAGTTTCCAAACTGCTCAATCTAAAGAATGGTTTATCTCTGTGAGATGAATTGAATGCACAGATCACAAAGCAGTTTCTAGGAAAGCTCCTTTCTAGTTTTTATGTGAGGATATTTCCTTTTTCACCATAGGCCTCAGAGTGTTCACAAATATCACTATGCAGATTCTAGAAAAACACTGGGTGCAAACTGCTCAATCAAAAGAATGGTTCACCTCTGTGAGAGGAATGCACACATCACAAAGCAGTTTCTCAGAAACCTTCCTTCGAGTTTTTAGGTGTAGATATTTCCTTTTCCACCAAAGGCCTGAAAGTGCTCCCAAATATCCCTTTGCAGATTCTACAAAATCAGTGTTTCCAAAATATTTAATCAAAAGAAACTTTTAACTCTGTGAGATGAGTGCACATGTAACAAAGCCGTTTCTCAAAAAGCTCCTTTCTAGTTTTTATGTGAGGATATTTCCTTTTTCACCATAAGACTGAAAGGGCTCCCAAATATCACTTTGCAGATTCTACAAAAACAGAGGTTCCAAACTGCTCCATCAAAAGAATTGTTCACCTCTGTGAGATGAATACACACATCACAAAGCAATCCCTCAGAAAGCTTCTTTCTAGTTGGTATCGGAAGATATTTCCTTTTTACCCAGAGGCCTCAAAGTGCTCACAAATATCACTTTCAGATTCTAGAAAAACATTGGTTCCACACTGCTCCATCAAATAATGGTTCAACTATGTGAGATGAACGCACACAAAGTAAAGCAGTTTCTCAGACCCTTCTCTTTCTAGTTTGTATTGGAAGATATTTCCTTTTTCACCATAGGCCTCAATGCACTCCCAAATATCCCTTTGCAGATTCTAGAAGACAGAGTTTCCAATCTGCTCAATGAAAAGAAATGTTGAACTCTGTGAGAATGCACACATCACAAAGCAGTTTCTCAGAATGCTTCTGTCTAGTTTGTATCAGAAGATAATTCCTTTGTCATCATAGGCTGCAAGGTGAATCCAAATATTCCTTTGCAGATTCTTGAAAAACAGTGGTTCCAAACTGCTCAAAAAAAAAAAGACTAGTTCAACTCTGTGAGAGGAATGCTCACTTCACAAAGTAGTTTTTCAGAAAACTTCCTTTGAGTTTTTAGGTGAAGATATTTCCTTTTTCACCATAGGCCTGGAAGCGATCCCAAATGTCCCTTTGAGGATTCTACAAAAACGGTGTTGCCAAGATGCTCAATCAAAAAGAAGTTTTAAGTCTGTGAGTTAACTTCACATATCACAAAGCAGTTTCTCAGAAAGCTCTTTTCTAGTTTTTATGTTAGGATATTTCCTTTTACAACATAACACTCAAAGGCTCCCAAGTGTCCCTTTGCAGATTCTACAAAAACATTGATTCCAAAAGCTCCATCAAAAGAATGGTTCAGCTCTGTGACATGAATGCAAACATCAAAAAGGAGTTTCTCAGAAAGCTTCCATCTAGTTTGTATTGGAAGATATTTCCTTTTTCACCACAGGCCTCCATGTGAATCCAAATATCCCCTCTCAGATTCCACAGACAGTGTGTTTCCAAACCCTCAATGAAAAGAATGGTTAAAATGTGAGATGAATGCACACATCACAAAGCAGTTTCTCAGACACTGTCTTTCTAGTTCGTATCGGAAGGTATTTTCTTTTTCACAATAGGACTCAATGAGCTCCTAAATATCCCTTTGCAAATTCTATAATAACATAGTTTCCAAACTGCTAAATGAAAATAAACATTTAACTCTGTGAGATGAATGCACACATCACAAAGCAGTTTCTCAGAAAGCTTCTGCCCAGTTTGTATCAGAAGATACTTCCTTTGTCAGCATTGGCCTCAATTCGAAAGCAAATATCTCTTCGCAGATTCTACAAGCACTGTGTTTCCAAACTGCTCAATCAAAAGAATGGTTTAACTCTTTGAGATGAATGCATAGATCACAAAGCAGTTTCTAAGAAAGCTCCTTTCTAGTTTTTTGTGAGGATATTTCCTTTTTCACCACAGGACCCAAAGCACTCACAAATATCCCTTTGTAGATTCTACAAAAACGGTGATTATAAAACGCTCAATCAAAAGGATGGTTCAGCTCTGTGAGAGGAATGCACACATGACAAAGAAGTTTCTCAGAAAGCTTCCTTCCAGTTTGTAGGTGAAGATCATTCCTTTTTTGCCATAGGTGTGAAAGCACTCCCAAATATCCCTTTGTAGATTTCACAAAAATGGTGTTTCCAAAATGCGCAATCAAAATAAAATTTTAACTCTGTGAGATGAATACACATGTCACAAAGCAGTTTCTCAGAAAGCTCCTTTCTAGTTTTTATGTGAGGATATTTCCTTTTCACCATCAGACTCAAAGAGTTCCCAATTATCCCTTTACAGGTTCTACAAAAACGTTGTTTCCAAACTGCTCTATCAAAAGAATCGTTCAACTCTGTGAGATGAATGCACACATCACAAAGCAGTCTCTCAGAAAACTTGTGTCTAGTTTGTATCAGAAGATATTTCCTTTATCATCACAGGCCTCCATGCAAATCCAAATATCCCTAAGTAGATACTACAAACACTATGTTTCCAAACTTCTCAATCAAAAGAACAGTTAAACTCTGTCAGATGAACACACTCACCAGAAAGCACTTTCTCAGAAACTCCAGTTTGTATTGGAAGATATTTCCTTTTTCACCATAGGCCTCAATGTGTTCCCAAAAATCCCTTTGCAGATTCTAGAAGAACAAAGTTTCCAAACTGCTCAATAAAAAGAAGCGTTGAACCATGTGAGATGAATGCACACATCACAAAGCAGTTTCTCAGAAAGCTTCTGTCTAGTTTGTATCAGAAGATATTTCCTTTGTCACCATAGGACTCAAGGCAAATCCAAATATCCCTTTGCAGACTCGACAAACACTGTGTTTCCAAACTGCTCAATCACAAGAATGGTTTAAGTCGGTGAGATGAATGCACACATGACAAAGCAGTTTCTCAGAAAGCTTCTGTCTAGTTTTTACATGAAGATATTTCCTTTTTCACCATAGGCCTCAAAGCACTCACAAATATTGCTTTGCAGATTCTAGAAAAACATTGGTTGCAAAGGTCCTCAAGTCCTCAATCAAAAGAATGGATGAACTCTATGAGAGGAATTCACACACCACAGAGCAGTTTCTCAGAAATCTTCCTTTGACTTTTTAGGTGAAAACATTTCCTTTTTCACCATAGGCCTGAAAGCACTCCAAAATATCTCTTTTCAGATTCCATGAAAACGGTGTTTCCAAAATGCTCAGTCAAAATCAAGTTTTAACTCTGTGGGATGAGTGCACTTATCACAAAGCCCTTTCTTAGAAAGATCTTTTCTAGATTTTATGTGAGGATACTTCCTTTTTCACCATAAGACTGATAGGGTTCCCAAATATCCCTTTGTAGACTCTACAAAAACAGTGGTTCCAAACTGAATCATCAAAACAGTGGTTCAAATCTGTGAGATGAATGTACACATCACAAAGCAATATCTCAGAAAGCTTCTGTCTAGTTTGTATTGGAAGATATTTCATTTTTCACCCCAGGCCTCCATGCAAATCCAAATATCCCCTCAAAGATTCTACAAACACTGTGTTTCCAAACTTCTCAATCAAAAGAACAGTTAAACTCTGTCAGATGAACACACTCACCAGAAAGCACTTTCTCAGAAACTCTCCAGTTTGTATTGGAAGATATTTCCTTTTTCACCATAGGCCTCAATGTGTTCCCAAAAATCCCTTTGCAGATTCTAGAAGAACAAGGTTTCCAAACTGCTCAATGAAAAGAAACTTTTAACTCTGTGAGATGAATGCACACAACACAAAGCAGTTTCTCAGAAAGCTTCTGTCTAGTTTGTATCAGAAGATATTTCCTTTGTCACCATAGGCCTCAAGGCAAATCCAAATATCTCTTCACAGATTCTATACACACCATGTTTCCAAACTGCTCAAAGAATGGTTAAACTCTGTGAGATGAGTGCACACATCACAAAGAAATTTCTCAGAAAATTTCTTTCTAGTTTCTATCAGGAGATAATTCCTTTTTTCACCATAGGCCTCATTTCGCTCCCAAATAGCCCTTTGCAGATTCTAGAAGAACAGAGTTTCCAAACTGCTCAGTGAAAATAAACGTTTAAATCTGTGAGATGAATGTGCACAACACAAAGCAGTTTCTAAGAAAGCTCCTTTCTAGTTTTTATGTGAGGATATTTCCTTTTTCACCATAGGCCTCAAAGTGCTCACAAATATCCCTTTGCAGATTCCAGTTTCCAAACTGCTCAATGAAAAGAAAGGTTTAACTCTGTGAGATGATTGCACACATCACAAAGAAGTTCCTCATAAAGCTTCAGTCTAGTTTGTATCATTGCTTATTTTATCATAGGCATATTGAAGCTTATGGTGAAAAAGGAAATATCTTCAGATAAAAACTAGAAAGAACCTTTTTGAGAAACTGCTTTGTGATGTGTACATTCATCTCACAGAGTTAAACATTTTTTTTTTTGTTTGATTGAGCTGTTTGGAAACACTGTTTTTTAGAATCTGTGACAGGATATGTTGGAGCACATTGAAGCCTATGTTAGAAAAGGAAAAATCTTCAGAGAAGAACTAGACGGAAGTTTTCTGAGAAACTGTTTTTGATGTGTGCATTCGTCTCACAGAGTTAAACCTGTCTCTTGAATGAGCAGTTTGGAAACACGGTTTTGTAGAAACTGTGAAGGGATATTTGTGAGTGCATCAAAGCCTATGGTGAAAAAGGAAATAACTTCAGATAAAAACGAGAAAGAAGCTTTTTGAGAAACTGCTTTGTGATGTGTGCATTCATCTCACCAACTTAAACCTTTGTTTTGATAGATCAGTTTGGAAACACTGTTTTTGTAGAATCTGTGAAGCAATGTTATGCAGTGTAAAAAGGACTATGGTGAACAAGAAAATATCTTCAGATAAGAAGTGGAAAGAAGCATTATGAGGAACTGCTTTCTGATGTGTGCCTTCATCTCCTGGAGTTAAGTCCTTTAGATGGAAGAGTTTGGAAATACTCTTTTGCATTGAAGCCTATGGAGAAAAAGGAAATAACTTCAGAAAAAAACTAGAAAGAAGCTTTCTGTTAAACCAATTTGCGATGTGTGCATTCTTATCACAGAGTTAAACTTATCTTTTGAGTAGGCAGTATGGAAACACTGTTTTGTAGAATCTGTGATGGATATTTGGGAGTGCAATGAGGCCTATGATGACAAAGGAAATATCTTCAGCTAAAAACTAGAAAGAGCTTTCTGAGAAACTGCTTTGTGATGTGTGCATTCATCTCACAGAGGTAAAACTCTCTTTTGATTGAGCAGTTTGGAAACACTGTTTTTGTTGAATGTGTGACAGCACATTTCAGAGCGCTGTAAAGCCTATGGTGAAAAAGGAAATATCTTCGAATGAAAACTAGAAAAGAGCATTTTGAGAAACTACTTTGTGATGTGTGCATTCATCTCAGAGTGTTAAACCTTTGTTTGGATTGATCAGCTTGTAAACAATGTTTTTTTAGAATCTGTGAAAATATATTTGGGATGCACAAGGTCTATGGTGAAAAAGTAAATAATTTCAGATAAAAACTAGAAAGAGTCTTTCTGAGAAACATCTTTGTGATGTATGCATTCATCTCACAGAGTTAAACTATGGTGAAAAAGGAAATATCTTCAGAAAAAATCAAGAAAGAAGTATTCTGAGAAACAGCTTTGAGATGGGTGCATTCACCTCACAGAGTTAAACTTTCCTTTCAATGCAGTGGTTTGGAAACACTGTTTTTGTGGCATATGCAAAAGGATATTTGGGAGCACATTGAGGCCTATGTTGAAAAACAAAATAAATCATAAAAACTTCAAAGACGCTTTCTGAGAAACTGCTTTGAGATATGTGCATTCATCTCACAGAGTTAAACCTTTCTTTTGCAGGAGCAGTTTGGAAAGACTGTTATTGTAGATTATGTGAAAGGATATTTGACAGTGCATTGAGGCCTGTGGTGAAAAATGAAATATCTTTAGGGAAAAACTAAAAATAAGCTTTCTGAGAAACGGATTTGTGATGTGTCCATTCATCTAACAGTTAAACTTTTCTATTGATGGAGTTGTTTGAAAACACTATTTTTCCAGAATCTGGGAAGTGATATTTAGGAGTGTCTTGAGGCCTATGGTGAAAAAGGAAATATCTTCAGAGAAAAAAGAGAAACAAGCTTTCTGAGAAATTGCTTTATGATGCATGCTGTCATCTAACAGACTCAAACCTTTGTCTTTGTTGAGCAGTTTGAAAACACTGTTTCTATAGAATCTGTGAAGGAATATTTCGAAGCACATTGTTGCTTATGGTTAAAAAGGAAATATCTTCACATAAAAACTAGAAAGAAGATTCCATAGAAACTACTTTGTGATGTGTGCATTCATCTCACAGAGATTAACTTTCTTTTGGTGGAGCAGTTTGGAAACACTTTTTTTGTAGAATCTGCTAAGGGACATTTTGGAGTGCATTTTGGCCTATGATGAAAAAGGAAATATCTTTAGAGAAAAACTGAAAATAAACTTTCTGAGAAACTGCTTTGTGATGTGTCTTTTCAGATCACAGAATTAAATTTTCCTTTAGTGGAGCAGTTTGGAAACACTGTTTTGTAGATTCTGTGAATGCACATTAAGGAACACATTGAGGTCTGTGGTGAAAAAGGAAATATCTTTAGAGAAAAACTATAAGGAAGCTTTCTGAGAAACTGATTTGTGATGTTTGCATTCATCACAGAGAGGTAAACCTTTCTTTTGTTGGAGCTGTTGGGAAACCCTGTTTTTCTAGACTATGCGAAGGGATATTTCAGAGCATGTTGTGGCCTGTGGTGAAAAAGAAATATCTTTACATAAAAACTAGAAAGAAGTTTTCTGAGGAACTGATTTGTGATGTGTGCATTCATCTCACAGAATTAAACTTTCCTTTTGATGGAGCTCTGTGGAAACACTAGTTTTGTAGAATTGGTGAAGGGATATTTGGGAGCATATAGAGGCCCATGGTTAAAAAGGAAATATCTTTAGTGAAAAGCTAGAAAGAAGCTTTCTGTGAAACTACTTTGTGATGTGTGCATCCAGGTCAGAGAGTTAAACATTTCTTTTGATTGAGCAGTTTGGAAACACTGTTTTTTTGGAATCTGCAAAGGGATATTTGTGAGCATATTGAGGCCTATGGTGAAAAACGAAATATCTTTAGCAAAAAATAGAAAGAAACTTTCTGAGAAACCTGTTTGTGATGTGTGCATTCATCTCACAGAGGTAAAATTTTCGTTTTTTGGAACTGTTTTAAAACAATGTTTTAGTCGAATGTGTGAAGGGCTATTTGGGAGCACATTGAGGCTTATGATATGAATGGAAATATCTTTGGAGAAAAACAAGAAGGAAACTTTCTGAGAAACAGATTTTTGATGTGTGCATTCATCTCACAGATTTAAAGGTTTCTTTTGATGGAGCTGGTTGGCAACTCTGTTTTTGTAGAATCCACTAAAAGATACTTGGGAGCGTATTGAAGTCTATAGCGAAAAAGGAAATATCATTAGAGAAAATTTATACAAGCTTTCTGAGAAACTGATTTACGATGTGTCCATTTATCTCACAGAGTTAAAGCTTTCTTTTGATGGAGCTGGTTGGAAACACTGTATTTCTAGAATCTGCAAAGGGATATTTTGGAGCGTATTGAGGCCTACAGTGAAACAGATATGTTTTCAGATAAATATTAGAAAGAAGATTTCTGAGAACTTGTTTTGTGAGCTGTCCCGTCATCTTACAGAGTTAAACATTTCTTTGATTGAGCAGTTTTGAAACACTGTGTTTTAGAATCTGTGAAGGGATATTTGGGAGTGCCTTGAGCACTATGGTGAAAAAGGATATATCTTAAGAAAACCTAGAAAGAAGTTTTCTGACAAACGAATTTGTGATGTGTGCATTCATCTCACAGAGTTAAACCTTTCTTTTGATGAAGTAGTTTGGAACCACTGCTTTTATAGAGTCTGTGAAGGGATATTTGGGAGTGCATGAGGCCTGTGGTGAAAAATGAACTATCTTCACATAAATATTATAAAGAAGCTTTCTGAGAAACTGCTTTGTGATGTGTGCATTCAACTCACAGAGATAACACTTACTTTTGATGGAGTAGTTTGGAAACACTGTTTTTGTAGAATCTGAGAAGGTATATTTGGGAATGCATCAAGGTCTATGGTGAAAAACTAAATATCTTTGGAGAAAAACTAGAAAGAAGCTTTTTGAGTAACTGCTTTGTGATGTTTGCATTCAGCTCACAGGGTTAAACATTTCATTTGATTGAGCAGTTTGGAAATACTGCTTTTGTAGAATCTGTGAAGGGATATTTGGGAACATATTGAGGCCTATTGTGAAAAAGTAAATATCTTCAGAGAAAAACTAGAATGAAGCTTTCTAATAAACTGTTTTGAGTAGTTTGCAATCAACTCTCACTGTTAAAAATTTCTTTTGATTGAGCAGTTTGGAAACACTGTTCCGCTTAGACATTTTTAGGAGTGCTTTGATGCCTATGGTGAAAAAGGAAATAGCTTCAGATAAAAACTAGATGGAAGCTTTCTGAGAAACTGCTTTGTATGAGTGCATTCATATCATAGAGTTTACCCTTTCTTTTATGGAGCAGTTTGGAAAACTGTTTTTGTAGAATCTGTGAAGATATATTTGGGAGTGCATTGAGGCCTATGTGGAAAAATGAATTATGCTCAGAGAAGAACTAGAAAGAAGCTTTCTGAGAAACTGATTTGTGATGTGTGCATTCATCTCACAGAGTTAATCTTTTCTTTTGATGGAGCAGTTTGGAAGCCCTGTTTTTGTATAATCTGTGAAGGGATATTTGTGAGCACATTGAAGCCTATGGTGAAAAAGGAAATATCTTCAGATAAACACTAGAAAGACGCTTTTTAGGAAACTGATTTGTGATGTGTGCATTCGTCTCACAGAGTTAATCTATTCTTTTGATTGTGTAGTTTGGAAACGCTGCTTTTGTAGAATCTGTGAAGCGATACTAGGGAGCGCCTTGAGGCCTATGGTGCAAAAGGAAATATCTTCAGAGAAAACCTACAGAGTAGCTGTCTGAGAAATTGCTTTGTGTTTTGTGCATTCATCTCACAGAGTTAAACATTCCTATGGATGGAGCAGTTTGGAAACACTCTTTTTATAGAATCTGTGAAGAGATATTTGGGAGCACATTCACACTTACATTGAAAAATGACTTATCTTAGGAGAAAAAGCAGAAAGAAATTTTATGAGAAATTGATTTGTGATGTGTGCATTCGTCTAGCAGAGTTAAACCTATCTTTTGATGGAGCAGTTTGGAAACACTGTTTCTGTAGAATCTGTGAAGGGATATTTGGGAGCACATTGAGGACTATGGTAAAAAATTTAATATCTTTAGCCATAATATAGAAAGAAGCTATCTTAGAAACTGCCTTTTACGTGTGCATTCAGCTCACAGAGTTAAACATTTCTTTTGATGGAGCAGTTTCTAAACACAGTTTTTGTAGAATCTTCGAAGGGATATTTGAAAGCACATTGAGGTCTATGGTGAAAAAGGAAATACCTTCAGAGAAAAACTAGAAGGAAAGTTTCTGATAAGCTGTTTGTGTTGTGATCATTCATGTCACAGAGTTAAAACTTTCTTTTGATGGAGCTGTTTGGAAACACTGTTTTTGTGGAATCTGCTAAGAGATATTTGGGAGCTCATTGAGGCCTACGGTGTAAAAGGAAACATCTTCAGAGAAAAACTAGAAAGACGCTTTCTGATAAGCTGCTTCGTGTTGTGTTCATTCATCTCACAGAGTTATACCTTTTTTTTTGATTGAGCAGTTTAGAAACACTGTTTTTGTGGAATCGGTGAACGGATATTTGGGAACACACTGAGACCTATGGTAAAAAAGGAAATAACTTTAGAGAAAAACTAGAAAGAAGCTTTCTGAGAAACTGCTTTGTGATGTGTGCATTCAAACCCCTGAGTAAAAGCTTTGTTTTGATTGAGCAGCTTGGTAACACTGTTTTAATATAATCTGTGAAGGGATATTTGGGGGCACATTGAGGTCTATGGGAAAAATGTAATATCTTTAGGTAAAAAATAGAAAGAAGCTTTCTAAGAAACTTCTTTGTGATGTGTGCATTCATCTCACAGAGTTAAATCTTTCTTTTGATGGAGCAGTTTGGAAACACTGTTTTTGTAGATTATGCAAAGTGAAATTTGGGAGCGCATTCAGGCATATGGTGAAAAAGCAATATCTCTGATAAAAATTACAAATAATCTTTCTAAAGATTCTTTAGAAAGAGAAACTGCTTTGTGATATCAGTGTTCATGTCACAGAGTTAAACTTATATTTTGATGGAGCATTTTGGAAAGACTGTTTTTGTAGAAGCTCTGAAGTTATATTTGGGAGTGTTTTCAGGCCTATGGTGAAAAATGAAATATCCTAAGAGAAAAAATTGAAAGAAGATTTTGAGAAACTTCTTTGTGATGTTTGCATTTATCTCACAGATACACACCTTCTTTTTTTGAGCAGTTTGGAAACGTTGTGTTTGTAGAATCCATGAAGTGTTATTTTGGAGTGCATTGAGTCCTATGGTGAAAAAAGAAAATGTTTAGGCAAAAGATAGAAAGAGGTTTTCTGAGAAACTGCTTTGTGATGTCTGCATTCAGCTTACAGAGTTAAATATTTCTTTTGATGGAGCAGTTTGGAAACACTGTTTTTGTCACATCTGCAAAGGGATATTTCAGAGTGCATTGAGGCCTATGGTAAAAAGGAAATATCTTCACAGAAAAATGAGAAAGAAGCTTTCTGAGAAACTGCTTTGTGATGCATACATTCATCTCACAGAGTTAAACCTTTCTTTTGATGCAGCAGTTTGGAAACACTGTTTTTGTATAATCTGCGAAGGGATATTTTTTAGTGCATTGAGCCCTAAGATGAAAAAGGAAACACTTTCAGAGAAAAACTGGAAAGAAGCTTTCTGAGAAACTGCTTTGTTATTTGTGCATTCATCTCACAGAGGTAAACCTTTCTTTTGATGGAGCAGTTTGCAAACACTGTTTCTGTAGAATCTGCGAATGGATATTTGGGAGCACCTTGCAGCCTATGATGAAAAAGAAAATATTTTAAGAGAAAAACTAGAAAGAATCATTTTCAGAAACCTACTTGTGATGTGTGCATTAATCTCACAGACTTAAACTTTTATTTTAATGAAGCAGTTTTGAAACACTGCTTTTGTAGAAGTTGCAATGGGATATTTGGGAGGGTGTGGAGGCAAATGGTGAAAAAAGAAATATCTTCAGAGAAAAACTAGAAAGAAGCTTTCTGAGAAGCTGATTTGTGATGTGTGCATTCATCTCACAGACTTTTACCTTTCTATTGATGGAACAGTAGGAAAGACTGTTTCTGTAGAATCTGCAAAGGGATATTTGGGAGCACATTCATCTCTATGGTGAAAAAGGAAATATCTCAAGAGAAAAACTATAAAGAAGCTTTCTGAGAACCTGACGTATGATGTGTGCATTCATCCCACAGAGTTCAACTTATCTTTTGATGAGCATTTTGGAAACACTATTTTTGTAGAGTCTGCAAATGGATTTTTGGGAGCACCTTAAGGCCAGTGGTGAAAAAGGAAACATCTTAAGAGAAAAATTAAAAAGAAGCTTTCTGAGAAACTATTTTTGGCGACTGCATTCATCTCACAGAGTTAAAGCTTTCCTTTGATGGAGCACTTTGGAAACACTGGTTTAGAAGAATCTGTGCAAGGATATTTGGGAGCACATTGGGGCCTACTGTCAAAAAGTATATGTCTTCAGATAAAAACTAGAAAGAAGCTTTCTGAGAAACTGTTTTGTGATGTGTGCATTCATCTCACAGAGTTAAACCTTTCCTTTGATAAAGCAGTTTGGAAACACTGTGTTAGTAGAATCTGCGAAGGGATATTTTGGAGAGTATTGAGGCCTACTTTGAAAAAGTAAACCTTTCTTTGAATGAATCAGTTTGGAAACACTGTTTTTGTAGAATCTGGAAAGGGATATTTGGGAGCACATTGAAGCCTATGGTGAAAAAAGAAACATCTTCATACAAAAACTAGAAAGAAGCTTTCTGAGAAACTGCATTGTGATGCATGCATTAATCTGACAGAGTTAAACCTTTTTTTTGATGGAGTTGTTTGGAACCACTGTTATTGTAGATTCTGTGAAGGGATATTTTGGAGAGCATTAAGGCCTAAGGTGAAGAAGGAATCATCTGCACATAAAAAAAAGAAAGAAGATGTTTGAGAAAGTACTTTGTGATGTGTGCATTCATGTTATAGATGTAAACCTTTCTTTGGATTTAGCAGTTTGGAAACATTGTTTTTGTAGAATCTGAGAAGGGATATTTTGGAGCGCATTGAGGCCTATGATGGAAAAGGAAATATCTTCAGAGGAAAACTAGAAAGAAGGTTTCTGAGAAACTGCTTCATGTTGTGATCATTCATCTCACAGACTTAAACCTTTCTTTTGATTCATCAGTTTGGAGACACTGTTTTTGGGGGGATCAGCAAAGAGATGTTTGGGAGCACATTCAGGCCTATGGTGAAAATGGAAATATCTTTAGATAAAACTTAGAAAGAATCTTTCTGAGAAATTGCTTTGTATTGACATCATTCATCTCACAGAGTTAAACCTTTCTTTTGATTGACCAGTTTGGAAACACTGTTTTTTGGAAACTGTGAACGGATAATTTGGAGCACATTGAGGCCTATGGTGAAAAGGGGAATATATTCAGATAGCTCCTTTCTAGTTTTCCTTTGAAGATATTTCCTTTTTGAACATAGGCCTACAAGTGCTGTCAAATATCCTTTCACAAGTTATACAAAAACAGTCTTTCCCAAATGCTCCATCAAAAGAAAGGTTTAACAATGTGAGATGAATGCACACATCACAAATCAGTTTCTCAGAACGTTTCTTTCTAGTTTTTCTCTTAAAATATTTCCTTTTTCACCCTAGGCCTCAAAGTGCTCCCAGATATCTATTACAGATTCTGCAAAAACTGTGTTTCCAAGCTGCTCCATCAGAAGAAAAGTTTAACTCTGTGAGATAGATGCACACATCACAAATAAGTTTCTCAGAAAGCTTTTTCTAGTTTTTCTATGAAACTATTTGCTTTTTCACCATAGACCTCAATGCTTTACCAAATACCCCTTCACAGATTCGACCAAAAAAAAGTGTTTCCAAACTGCTTCATCAAAAGAAATGTTTAACTCTGTGAGCTGAATTCAGACATCAAAAAGCAGTTTCTCAGAAAGCTTCTCTCTAACTTTTTGCTAGACATATTTCCTTTTTCACCATAGTCCTCAATGCACTCCCAAATATCCCTTTGCAGATTCTACAAAAACACTGTTTCCAAACAGCTTTATCAAAGGAATGGTTAAACTCTGTGAGATGAATGCACATATCACATATCAGTTTCTCAGAACGCTTCTTTCACATAATAACACATAAGGTTCTACAAAAACAGTGTTTCCAAATTGCTCAACCAAAAGAAAGGTTGGAGTCTCTGAGATGAATGCACACCTCACAAAGCAGTTTCTCAGAAAGCTTCCTTCTATTTTTTATCTAAAGATATTTCATCTTTGGCCATAGGCCTCAATAAACTCCCAAATATCCCTTCACAGATTCTACAAAAACAGTGTTTCAAAACTGTTCCATCAAAAGAAAGTTTTAACTCCATGAGATGAATGCATGTATCACAAATCAGTTTCACTTATGTGTTCATTCCTCTCACAGAGATAAACCATACTTTATCTCTGTGAGATAAAGTCTGGAGCAGTCTGGAAACATAGTTTTTGTAGAATCTGTGAAGGGATATTTGTGAGTGCATTGATGCCTATGGTGAAAAAGGTTATATGTTCACAGGAAAACTAGAAAGAAGATTCTGAGAAACTCTTTGCAATGTGGACATTCAGCTCACAGAGATAAACCTTTCTTTTCATGAGGCAGTTTGGAAACATTGCTTTTGTAGAGTCTGTGAAGGGATGTTTGGGTGTCCTATGGTGAAAAAGGAAACATATTCAGAGAAAAACTAGAAAGAAGCTTTCTGTGAAACTGTTTTGTGATGTGTGCATTCATCTCCCTGAGTTAAAAGTTTCCTTTGACACAGCAGTTTGGAAACACTGTTTTTTTAGAATCTGCAAATGGATATTTGGGAGCACATTGAGGCCTACGGTGAAAAAGCAAATATCTTAAGAATAAAACAAGGAATAATCTTTCTATGAAACTGCTTTTTGATGAGTGCATTCATTTCACAGAGGTAAAGCACTCCTTTGATGGTGCAGTTGGGAAACAACACTGTTTTTGTAGAATCTGCAAAATGGTATTTAGGCCATAGGCGCATTGAGGCCTATGGTGAAAAATGAAACATCTTCAGAGAAAAAATAGAAAGAAGCCTTCTGGAAAACTGCTTTGTGATGTGTGCATTCACCTCACAGAGTTAAACCTTTCTTTTGATTGAGCAGTTTGGAATAAGTGTTTTTGTAGAATCTGAGAAGGGATATTTGGGAACACACATAGGCCTGTGTTCAAGAAGGAAATATCTTCAGAGAAAAACTAGAAAGAAGCTCTCTGAGAAACTGCTTTGTTGTTTTCTGTGCATTCACCTCACAGAGACGAACCTTCCTTTTGATGTAGCGGTTTGGAAACACTGTTTCTGGAGAATCTGCAAAGGGATAATTGGGACTGTATTGAGGCCTACAGTGAAAAAGAAAATATCTTCAGAGAAAAACCGGAAACAAGGTTTCTGAGATACTGCTTTTTGTTGTGCCCATTCATCTCACACATTAAACCTTTCTTGCGATTGAGCAGTTTGGAAGCACTGTTTTTGTGGAGTCTGTGAATGGTTATTTGGGAGCGAATTGAGGCCTATGGTGAAAAAGGTAGTATCTTTAGATAAAAACTAGAAAGAAACTTTCTGAGAAACCTGTTTGGGATGTGGGCATTCATCTCACAGAGGTAAACATTTCTTTGCTTGGAATTGTTTTAAAACACTGTTTTAGTAGAATGTGCAAAGAGATATTTGGGAACACATTGAGGCTTATTGTATAAATGGAAATATCTTCAGAGAAAAACAAGAAGGAAGCTTTCTGAGAAGCTGCTTTTTGATGTGTCCATTCATCTGGCAGAGTTAAATGTTTCTTTTGTTGGACCTGTTTGGCTACTTTGTTTTGGTAGAATCTGCGAATGGATATTTGGGAACATATTGAGGCCTACATAGAAAAAGGAAATATCATTAGAGAAAATTTATGGAAGCTTTCTGAGAAACTGATTTGTGAAGCTTCCATTCATCTCACAGAGTTAAAGCCTTTTTTTCGTGGAGATGTTTGTAAACACTGTTTTTCTAGAATGTGTGAAGGCATATTGGGACCGCATTGAGGCCTACAGTGAAAAATACATATTTTCAGAGAAATACTAGAAAGAAGCTTTCTGACAAACTGCTTTGTGATGTGTGTATTCATTCCACAGAGTTAAACCTTCCTTTTGATTGAGCAGTTTGGAAACACTGTTTTTTAGAATCTGTGAGGGATATTTGGGAGTGCTTTGAGGACTATGGTGAAAAAGGATTTATCTTAAGAGAAACTAGAAATAAGTTTTCTGACAAACTGATCTGTGATTTGTGCATTCGTCTCACAGAGTTAAGCCTTTCTTTTGATGGAGCCTTTTGAAACACAGTTTTTGTAGAATCTGTGAAGGCATATTAGGGAATCAATAGAGTGCTATAATGAAAAAGTAAATATCTTCAGAGAAAAAAAAGAAAGAATCTTTCTGAGAAACTGCTTTCTGATGTGTGCTTTCATCTCACTGAGTAAAATATTCCTATTGATGGAGCACTTTGGAAAGAAAGTTTTCATAGAATCTGTGAAGGGATATTTGAGAGTGCCTGGAGGCCTATGGTGAAAAAGGAAATATCTTCAGAGAGGAACTACACAGAAACTTTCTGAGAAACTGCTTTGTGATGTGTGCATCCATCTCATAGAGTTAAACCTTTCTTTTGATGGAGCAATTTGGAAACTCTGTTTTTGTAGAATCTCCAAAGGGATATTTGGGAGCACATTGAGGCCTAAGGTGAAAAAGTCAACATCTACAGAGAAAAACTAGAAAGAAGCTTTCTGAGAAACTGGTTTGTGATGTGTGCATTCATCTCACAGAGTTAAACCTACCTTTTGATGAGCATTTTGGAAGCACTGTTTTTGTCGAATCTTTGCAGGGATTTTTTAGGAGCACCTTGAGGCCTGTGGTGAAAAAGGAAATATCTTAAAAGAAAAACTAGAAAGGATCTTTCTGAGAAACTGTTTTTAGACGTGAGCATTCATCTCACAGAGTTAAACCTTTCATGGAACAGTTTGGAAACACTGGTTTTGAAGAATCTGTGGAGGAGTATTTGGGAGTGCATTGGGGCCTATGGTCAAAAAGTATATATCTACAGATAAAAACTAGAAAATTTTTCTAAGAAACTGCTTTGTGATCTGTGCATTTGTCTCATAGAGTTAAACCTTTTCTTTGATAAAGCAGTTTGGAAACACTGTTTTTGTAGAATCTGTGAAGGGATATTTTGGAGGGCATTGAGGCCTATTTTGAAAAAGGAAATATCTTCAGAGAAAAACTAGAAAGAAGCTTTCTGAGAAACTGTTTTATAATGATTATATTCATCTCACAGAGTTAAACCTTTCTTTGGATAAAGCACTGTGGAAACACTGTTTTTGTAGAATCTGCAAAGGGATATTTCGGAGCACTTTGAAGCCTATGGTGAAAAAGGAATCATCTTCAGACAAAAACTAGAAAGAAGCTTTCTGAGAAACTGCTTTGTGATGTGTGCATTCATCTCACAAAATTAAACCGTTTTTTATTGAGCCCTTTGGAAACATCATTTTTGCAGAATCTGCAAAAGGATATTAGGGAGGGCATTGAGGATTATGGTGAAAAGGAAATATCTTCAGAAAAATACTAGAAAGCAGATTTCCGAGAAACTACTTCCTGATGTGTACATGCGTCTCACAGAGTTAAACTTTTCTTTTGATTGAGTAGTTTAGAAACACTGCTTATGTAGAATCAGTGCAGGGATGTTTTGGAACGCATTGAGGCCTAAGGTCAAAAAGGAAATATCTTCAGGGGAAAACTAGAAAGAAGCTTTCTGAGAAACTTCTTTGTGATGTGTGCATTCATCTCACAGAGTTAAACCTTTCTTTTCATTGAGCACTCTGATGTCACTGTTTTTGTAGAACCTACAAAGGGATATTTCAGAGCACATTGAGGCCTCTGTTAAAAAAGGAAAAATCATAAGATAAAACTAGATAGAAGCTTTCTGATAAACTGCTTTGTCATGTGTGCATTCATCTAACAGAGGTAAACATTTCTCTGGATTCAGCAGTTGAAAACACTGTTTTTGTCCATTCTGCGAATGGCCATTTAGGAGCTCATTGAGGCCAATGGTGATAAAGTGAATATCACATGATAAAAATCAGAAGGAAGCTATCTGAGAATCTGCTTTGAGATGTGGGCACTCATCTTGCAGAAGTAACCTTTATTTTCATTCAGCAGTTTGGAAACAATGTTTTTATAGTATCTGTGAAGGGATACCTGGGAGTACACTGAGGCTTATGGTGAAAAAGGAAATATCTTCAGATAAAAACTAGAAAGAACCTTTCTGAGAATCCACTTTGTGATGTGTGCATTCATTTGAGACAGTTAAAAGTTTCTTTGTATTCAGCAGCTTGGAAACTGTTTTTATGCATTCTGCTAGGAAATTGGGAGATCATTGAGGCCAATGGCAAAAAAGCAAATAACCCATGATAAAAACTAGAAGGAAGCTATTTGAGAAACTGCTTTGTGATGTGTGAATTCATCTCATAGAGGTAAATCTTTCTTTTCACTCAGCAGTTTGGAAACACTGTTTTTGTAGAATCTGTGAAGGGATATTTGGGAGCAAATTGAGGCTTACAGTGAAAACGGAAACATCTTCAGATAAAAACTAGAAAGAAGCTCTCTGAGAAACTGCTTCATGGTGTGTGCATTCAACTCAAAGTGTTCAACTCTTCTTTTCCTTCAGCAGTTTAGAAACACCATTTTTGTAGAATCTGCAAAGGGATATTTGGGAGCATATTGAGGCCTATGATGAAAAAGGAACCATCTTCAGCTAACAAGTACAAAAAATCTTTCTTGAGAGTCTGGATTATGATATATGCATTCGATTCACAGAGCTAAACTTTTTTTGGATTCAGTATTTTGGAAACACTGTTTTTGTCCATTCTGTGAATTGACATGTGTGAGCTCATTGAGGCCAATGGTGAAAAAGTGAATACACCAGCATAAAATCTAGAAGGAAGCTATCAGAGATACTGCTTTGTGATGTGTGCATTCATCTCACAGAGTTAATCCTTTATTTTCATTCAGCAGCTTGGAAACACTGTGTTTTGTAGAATATGTGAAGGGTTATTTTGGAATGCATTGGGGTCTATAATGAAAAAGGAAACTACTTCAGATAAAACCTAGAAAGAAGCTTTCTGAGAAACTGATTTGTGATGTGTGCATTCAACTCACAGAGTTAAACTGTTGGACTCAACAGTTTGGAAACATTGATTTTGTCCATTCTGCTAATGGACATTTTGGAGCTCATTGAGGCCAATGTTAAAAACTGAATATCCCAGGATAAAAACCAGAAGGAAGCTCTCTGAGAAACCTCTTTCTGATGTGTGCATTCATCACACAAAGTTAAACCATCCTTTGGATTCAGCAGTTTAGGAACACTGTTTTTGTAGAAGCTACGAAGGGATATTTGGGAACATATTGAGTCCTATGTTGAAAAAGGAAACATCATCAGATAAAAACTACAAAGGAGATTTCTGAGAACCTGCTTTGTCTTATGTGCATTCATCTAAAAGAGATAAATCTTTCTTAGGATTCTGCAGTTTGGAAACACTGTTTATGTCCATTCTGAGAATGGAGCTCTTTGAGGCCAATGGTGAAAAAGCAAATATCCTAGGATAAAAACTGGAATGAAGGGGTCTGAGGAACAGCTTTCTGAGGTATGCATTCATCTCGTAGAGTTAAAACTTACTTTTCATTCAGCAGTTTGGAAACACTGTTGTTGTAGAATATGAGAAGGGATATATGAGCACACATTGGGGCCTATGGTGAGAAAGGAAACATACTTAGATAAAAACTACAAAAAACTTTCTGAGAAACTGGTTTGTGATGTGTGCATTCATCTCACAGAGTAAAACCTTTCTTTGCATATGGCAGTTTGGAAACACTACATTTGTCCATTTGGCAAATGGACATTTGGGAGCTCATAGAGGCCAATGGAGAAAAACTGAATATCCCAGGATGAAAACTGGAAGGAAGCTATCTGAGAAACTGCTTTGTGCTGTGTGCATTGATCTGGCAGAGTTATTTTTTTTTTTCATTCAGCCCTTTGGAAACACTGTTTTTGTAGAATCTGTAAAGGGATATTTGGGAGTGCATTGAGGCCTATGGTGAAAAAGGAGGAAATATCTTCAGTTAAAAAGTAGAAAGAAGCTTTCTTGAGAAACTGCTTTGTAATGCATGCATTCATCTCACAGAGTTAAAACTTTCTTTGGATTCAACAGTTAGGAAACTCTGTTTTTGTCCATTGTGTGAAAGGACAATTTGGAGCTCAGTGAGGCCAATGGTGAGAAAGTGAAAATCCCAGGATAAAAACTAGAAGGAAATTCCCTTGGAAACTGCTTTGGGATGTGTGCATTCATCTCACAGAGTTAAACCTTTCTTTTGTCAGAGCAGTTTGGAAACACTGTTTTTGTAGAATCTGCAAAGAGATATTCAGGAGCACATTGAGACACATTGTCCAAAGGGAAATATTTTAGATAAAAATGAAAGAATATCTTTCTGAGAAACTGATTTGTGATGTGTGCATTCATCTCACAGTGTTAAACATTTCTTTTGATGGAGCAGTTTGGAAACCTTGTTTTCATCGATTCTGTGAAGGGATATTAGAGAGCACATTGAGGGCTATGGTGAGAAAGGAATTATCTTTGGTGAAAAACTAGAAGGAAGACTTCTGAGAAACTGCTTTGTGATGTGTGCATTCATCTCACAGAGTTAAAAACCTTCTTTTGATGGGGCAGCTTGGAGACACTGTTTTTGTAGAAAATACCAACTGATATTTGGGAGTGTATTGAGGTCTATGGTCCAAAAGCAAATATCTTTAAGTAAGAACTAGACAGAAACTTTCAGGGAAACTGATTTGTGATGTGTGCATTCATCTCACAGCGTTAAACATTCCTTTTGATTGAGCAGTTTGGAAACTGTTTTTGTAGAATCTGCAAAGGGATATTTGGGAGCTCATCGATGGTTATGGTGAAAAAGTAAATATCCTCACAGAAAAACTAGTAAGAAACATTCTGAGAAACTGCTATGCACTGTGTGCATTCATCTCAGAGTTAAACCTTTGTTTTGATGGAACAGTTTGGAAACACCGTTTTGTAAATTCTGCTGAGGCATAGTTCAGAGCACATTGAGAACTATGGTGAAAAAGGAAACATCTTCAGAGAAAAACTAGAAAGAAGCATTCTGAGAAACTGCTTTGCGAAGTACGCATTCATCTCACAGAGTTAAACCTTTCTTTTGGTTGAGCACTTTGGAAACACTGTTTTTGTAGAATCTGTGAAGACATACTTTGGATCATATTGAGGCCTATGGTTTAAAAGGAAATATCTTCAGATAAAAACTAGGCAGAACCTTTCTGAGAAATTGCTTTGTGTTGTGTGAATTCATCACACAGAGTTAAACCTTTCTTTTGAAGGTACAATTTGGAAACACTGCTTTGGTAGAATCATTGAAGGGATATTTGGTATCACATTGAAGCCTATGATGAGAAAGGAAATATCTAGTTAAAAACCAGAAAGAAACTTTCTGAGAAACTGATATGTGATGTGTGTCTTCATCTCACAGTGTTGAACATTTCTTTTGCTGTAGCTGTTTGGAAGAAATGTTTTTCTAGGATCTGCAGGGATATTTGGGAGTTTGTTGAGACCTATGGTGAAAAAGGAAATATCTTCAGAGAAAAACTAGAAAGAGGCTTGCTGAAAAACTGCTTTTTGATGTGTGCATTCATCTCACAGATTCAAAACTTTCTTCTGGTTGAGCAGTTTGGAACCACTCTTTTTGTAGAATCAGTGAGGAGATATTTGGGAGCACATTGAAGCCTATGGTGGAAAAGGAAATATCTTCAGGTGCAAATTTGAAAGAAGCTCTCTGAGAAAGAGCTTTGTGATGCATGCATTCATCTCACACTCTTAAACCTTTCTTTTGATTTAGAAGTTTGGAAACACTGGTTTTTTGGAATCTACGAAGGGATTGAGGCTTATAGTGAAAAAGGGAATAACTTCAGAGAAAAACTAGAAGGAAGCTTACTGAGAAGCTACTTTGTGATGTGTGCATTAATATCCTTGAATTAAACCTTTCCTGTCACTCAGTAGTTTGGAAACACTGCTTTAGTAAAATCTATGAACGTGTATTTCAGTGTGCTTTGAGGCCTATGTTGAAAAGGCAAATATCTTCAGAGAGGAACTAGAAACAAGCTTTCTGAGAAACTGCTTCAGGATGTGTGCATTCATCTCACAGAATTAAACATTTCTTTTGGTGGAGCAGTTCGTAAGCACTGGCTTTGTAGAATCTTTGAAGTGATATTTGGGAGTGCATTGAGGCCAATTGTGAAAAAGAAAACATCTTCAGAATAAAATTAGAAAGAACCTTTCTGAGAAACATCTTGGTGATGTGTGCATCCATCTCACAGAGGTAAACCTTTCTTTCAATGGAGCAGTTTGGAAACACTGTTTTTATAGAATCTTCGAGGGAATATTTGGGAGCACATTGAGGCTTATGGTCACAAAGAAAATATCTTCAGATAAAATGTAGAAAGAGGCTTTCTGAGAAACTGACTTGTGATGTATTCATTCATCTCAGAAAGTTAATCCTTTCTTTTGATTGAGCAGTTTGGAAACACTGTTTTTGCAGAATCTGAGAAGAGTTATTTGGAAGGGCAATGAGGCCTATGATGAAAAAGGAAATATCTTCAATGAAAAACCAGAAAGAAGTTTTCTGAGAAAATGATTTCTGATGTGTGCATTCATCTCACAGACTCAAACATTTCTCTTGGTTGAACAGTTTGGAAACACTTTTCTAAGAATCTGCGAAGAGATATTTGGGAGTGCATTGAGGACAATGGTGAAAAAGGAAACATCCTTAGAGAAAAAATAGAAAAAAGCTTTCTGAGAAACCGATTTGTGATGTATGAATTCATCTCACAGAGTTACAACTTTCTTTTCATGGAGAAGTTTGGAAACACTGTTTTTGTAGAATCCAGGAAGGGATATTTGGGGGCTCATTGAGACCTATGTTGAATGAGGAATTATCTTCAGATAAAAACTAGAAAGAAGCTTTCTGAGCAACTTCTTTGTGATGTGAGCATTCATCTCACACAATCAAAACTTTTCTTTTAAGGGAGCAGTTTGGAAACACTCTTTCTATAAAATCTGTGAAGTGATATTTGGGAGCGCATTGAAGCCTACGGTGAATAAGGATATGTCTTCAGAGAAAAACATGAAAGAAGCTTTCTGAGAAACTGCTTTGTAATGTGTGCATTTGTCTCACAGAACAAAAGCTTTTTTTTTATTGAGCAGTTTGGAGGCACTGTTTTTGTATAATCTGCGAAGGGATAGTAGGGAGTGCCGTGCGGTCTATGGTGGAAAAGAAAATATCTTCAGAGAAAAACAAGAAAGATGCTTCCTGAGAAACTGATTTGTGATTTGTGCATTCATCTCACAGATGTAAACATTTCTTTTGGTAGAAATGTTTGGCAACACTGTTTTTGTAGAATCTGTGAAGTGATATTTGGGAGTGCATTGAGGCCTATGGTGAAAAAGGAAATATCTTCAGATAAATACTAGAAAGAAGCTTTCTGAGAAACTGCTTTGTGATGTGTGTATTTAAATCACCTAGGTAAACCTTTCTTTTTAATGAGGAATTTGGAAACCCTGTTTTTGTAGAATCTGTGAAGGCATATTTTGGAGTGCATTGAGGCCTATGTTGAAAAAGGAAATATCTTCAGAAAAAAACTGGAAAGAAGCTTTCTGAGCAACTGTTTTGTGATGTGCGCATTCATCTTGCAGAGTCAAATCTCTTTTTGATGGAGCAGTTTGGAAACACTGCTTTTATGGAATCTGCAAAGAGATATTTGGGAGCACATCAAAGACTATGGCAGAAAAGGAAATAAGAGAAAAAATATAAAGATGCTTTCTGAGAAACTATTTGTTGTGTGTGCAGTCATCTTACAGAGTGAAACGTTTTTGTGATGAAGCAGTTTGGAAATATTGTTGTCACAAATTCTGCAAAGGGATATTTGAGAGTGCATTGAGTCCTATGGTGACAAAGGAAATATCTTCAGAAAAAAAACAAAAAAAATGTCTTCTGAGAAACCATTTTGTGATCTGTGCATTCATCTCAAAGGAATAAACCTTTCTTTTGATGGAGCAGTTTGGAAATACTGTTTTTGTAGAAACTCTGAGGGATATTTTGGAGCTCATTGAGGCCTATGGTCAAAAAGGAAATATTTTTAGATAAAAACTAGAAGGAAGCTTTCTGAGAAACTAATTTGTGATGTGTGCATTCATTTCACAGAGGTAAACTTTTCTTTTGATGGAGCTTTTTGAGAACAATGTTTTTGTAAAATGTGCAAAGAGATAATACAGATCTCATTGAGGCCTATAGTGAAAAGGAAATATCTTCAGAGAAAAACAAGAAAGAAACTTTCTGAGAAACTGATTTGTGATGTGTGCATTCATCTCACAGAGTTAAACCTTTCTTTTGATGGAAATGTTTGGCAACACTGCTTTTGTAGAATCTATGAAGGGATATTTGGGAGGGCCTTGAGGCCTATGGTTTAAAATGAAATGTCTTAAGAGAAAACTGCAAAGAAGCCCTCTGAGAAACTGGTTTGTGATGTGTGCATTAAACATATAGAGTTAAACCTTTCTTTTGATGGAGCAGTTTGGAAACACTGTTTTTTAGAATTTGCGAAGGGATATTTTGGAGTGCACTGAGGCTTGTGTTCAAAAAGGAAATATCTTTAGATAAAAACTAGCAAGAAGCCCTCTGAGAAACTGGTTTGTGATGTGCACATTCATCTCACTGAGTTACACATTTCTTTTCATGGAGATGTTTGCAAAGACTGTTTTTGTAGAATTGGCAACTGGATATTTGGGAGAGAATTGAGGCTGATGGTGAAAAAGGAAATATCTTCAAGAAAAACTACAAAGAGACTTTCTGAGAAACTACTTTGTAATGCTTGCATTCATCTTACAGACTCATATTTTTCTTTTGTTTGAGCAGGTGGGAAACACTGTTTTTGTAGAAACTACAAATGGATATTTTGGTACTCATTGAGGCTTACGGTGAAAAAGGAATTATCTTCAGATAAAAACTAGGAAGAACCTTTCTGAGAAGCTGCTTTGTGACGTTTCCATTCATCTCACAGAGTTAAACCTTTCTTTTGATGGAGAAGTCTGGAAACACTGTTTTTGTAGAATCTGCAAAGTGATATTTGGCACCGTATTTAGGCCTATGGTAAAAAATGAAGTATCTTAAGAGAAAAACTATAAAGATGCTGTCTGAGAAACTGAGTTGTTATGGGGTGCATTCATTTCACAGAGTTATAATTTTCTTTTGATGGAGCTGTTTGGAATCATGGTTTTGGAGAAACTATGACAGGATACTTGGGAGTGCATTGAGACCTATGGTGAAAAAGAAAATAACTTCAGAGAAAAAAAAGAAGTAAGCTTTTGGAGAAACTGCTTTGTGATGTGTGCATTCATCTCACAGACTCAAACCTTTCTTTTGTTTCAGCAGGTTGGAAACACTGTTTTTGTAGAATCTGCAAATGAATATTTGGGTGCACTTTGAGACTTATTTTGAAAAAGGAAATATCTTCAGATAAAAACTAGAAAGAAACTTTCAGAGAAACTGATTTGTGATGTGTGCATTCAGCTCATAGACTTAAACATTTCCTTTGATTGAGAAGTCTGGAAACACTGTTTTTGTAGAATCCACGAAGGGATATTTGGGAGTGCATTGAGGCCTTCAGTCAAAAAGGAAATATCTTCAGACAATAACTAGAAAGAAGCTTTCTGAGAAACTTCTTTGTGAAGTGTGCATTGATCTCACAGAGTTAAACCTTTCTGTTGATTGAGCAGTTTGGAAACACTATTTTGTAGAATCTGTGAAGGGATAATTGGGAGTACTTTGAGGCCTAGGGTGAAAAAGGAAACTTCTTCAGATAAAAACTAGAAAGAAGGCTTCTGAGAAACTGCTTTGTGATTTGTGCATTTGTCCACAGAGTTAAACTTTTTTGGATTCAGCAGTTTGGAAACACTGCTTTTGTCCATTCTGCAAATGGACATTTGGAAGTTCACTGAGGCAAATGGCAAAAAAATGTAATATACCCGGAGAAAAACTAGAAGGAAGCTCTCTGAGAAACAGCTTTGTAATGTTTGCATTCATATCGCAGTGTTATACGTTTCTTTTCCTTCAGCAGTTTACAAACACTGTTGATGTAGAATCTGCAAAGAGATATTTGGGAGTGCATTGAGGTGTATGGTGAAAAAGGAAACATCTTCAGGTAAAAAGAAGAAAGAAGCTTTTGAGAAACTGCTTTTTGATGTGTGCATTCATCTCACAGAGTTAAACCTTTCTTGAATTCAGCAGTTTGGAAACACTGTTTTTGTGAATTCTGCAAATGGATACTTGGGAGCTCATTGAGGCCAATGGCAACAAAACGAATATAAAACCTAGAAGGAAGCTATCTGAGAAACCGAATTGTGATGTGTGCATTCCATCTCGCAGACTTAAACCTTTCTTTTCTGAAACATTTTTGAAACACCGTTTTTGTGCATTCTGAGAATGGACATTGGGAATCTCATTGAAGCCAATGGCGAAGAAGGGAATATTCCATATAAAAACTAGAAGGAAGCTATCTGAGAAACTGCTTTGTGATGTGTGTATTCATCTCACAGAGTTAAACCTTTCTTTTCATGCAGTATTTTGGAAATACTGTTTTTGTAAAATCTGTAAAGGGATATTCTAAATGCATTGAGGACTATGGTGAAACAGGAATCATCCTCAGATAAAAACTAGAAAGAAGCTTTCTGAGAAACTGCTTTGTCATGTGTGATTTCATCTCAGAGAGTTAAACTTTTCTTTGGATTCAGCAATTTGGAAACACTGTTTTTGTCCATTCTGTGAATGGACAGTTGGGAGCTCAATGAGGTCAAAGGCAAAAAAGTGAATATCCAAGGATAAAAACTAGAAGGAAGCTGTCTGAGCAACTGCCTTAAGATGTGTGCATTCATCCTGCAGAGTTAAAACTTTCTTTTCATTCAACAGTTTGGAAACACTGTTGATGTAGACTCTGCAATAGGATAATTGGGGGTGCATTGTGGCCTATGGTGAAAAAGGAAACATCTTCAGATTAAAACTAGAAAGAGGATTTCTGAGAAACTGCTTTGTGATGTGTGGCTTCATCTCACAGAGTTAAAACTTTCTTTGGATTCAGTAGTTTAGGAACACTGTTTTTGTCCATTTGGTGAATGGACATTTGGGAGTCCATTTAGGCCAATGGTGACAAAGTGAATATCCCAGGATAAAAGCTAGAAGGAACCTCTCTGAGAAACTGCTTTGTGATGTGTGCATTCATCTCACAGAGTTAAACCTCTCTTTTCATTCAGCAGATTGGAAGCACTATTTTTGTAGAGTCTGTGACAGGATATTTGGGAGCACATTGAGGCCCATGGTGAAAAAGGAAACATCTTCATATGGAAACTGGAAAGAACCTTTCTGAGAAACTGCTTTCTGATGTGAGCATTCATCTCACAGAGTTAAACATTTGTTTGGATTCAGCAGTTTGGAAACACAGTTTTTGTTGAAATCTGTGAATGGACATTTGGTAGCTCCTTGAGGCCAAAGGCAAAGAAGGGAATATCAAATGATTAAAACTAGAAGGAAGATCTCAGAGAAACCACTTTGTGGTGTACCCATTCATCTCGCAGAGGTAAACCTTTCTTTTCATTCAGCAAGTTGGAAAACAATGTTTTTGTAGAATCTGCCAAAGGATATTTGAGAGTGCATTGAGGCCAATGGTGAGTAAGGAAATATCTTCAGAGAACAACTAGAAAGAAGCTTTCTGAGAAATTGGCTTGCAATGTGTGCAGTCAACACAGAGGTAATCATTTCTTTTGATGTAGGAGTTTGGGGCACCGTTTTTGTAGAATCTGTGGAGGGATATTAGGGAGTGCATTGAGGCCTACAGTGAAAAAGGAGATGTCTTTAGAGAAACTATAAAGAAGCTTTCTGAGAAACTGCTTTGTGATTTGTGTATTCACCTCAGAGAGTTAAACCTTTCTTTTGATGGAGCAGTTAGAAAACACTGTTTTTGGAGAATCTCTGAAGGGATATTTGGGAGCACATGGAGGCCTACAGTGAAAAAGGAAATATCTTCAGAGAATAACCAGAAAGAAGCTTTCAGAGAAACTGCTTTGTGATGTATTTATTCATCTCACAGACTTAAACCTTTCTTTTTATGGATCAGTTTGGAAACACTGTTTTTGTAGAATCTGCAACTGGATATTTGGGAGTGCATTGAGGCCTGTGATGACACAGGAAGTATCTTCAGAGAAAAACTAGAAATAAGCTTTCTGAGAAACTGCTTTGTGACGTGTCCTTTTATTTCACAAAGCTAAAGCTTTCCTTTGATAGAGCAGTTTCAAAACACTGTTTTTGTAGAATCTGCAAAGGGATATTTGGGAGCATACTGAGGTCTGTGGTCAAAAAAGAAATAACTTCAGAGAGAAATTAGAAAGAGGCTTTCTGAGAAACTGCTTCATGATGTGTGCATTCACCTCACAGAGTTAAACCTTTCTTTTGATTGAGCAGTTTGGAAACATTGTTTTTGTAGAAACTGCCAAGGGATATTTGGGAGCACATTTAGGCCTATGGTGAAACAGGAAATATCTTCAGGGAAAATGTACAAAGAAGCTTTCTGAGAAACTGCTTTCTGATATGTGCATTCATATCACAGAGTTAATCTTTACTTTTGATGGATCAGTTTGTAACCATGCTTTTTGTAGAATCTCTGAAGGGATATTTGAGAGTGCATGGAGGCCTATGGTGAAAAAGGAAATATCTTCAGAGGAAAAAAAGGAAAGAATTTTTCTGAGAAACTGCTTTGTGATGTGTGCATTCATCTCAAAGAGTTAAACCTTTCTTTTGATGGAGCACTTTGGAAACACTGTTTTTTAGGATCTGCAAAGGGATATTTGGAAGTGCATTGAAGCCTAATGTGAAAAATGAAACACCTTCAGAGAAAAACTAGAATGAATCTTTCTGAGAAACTGCTTTGTCATGTATGCATTCATCTGAAAGAGTTAAACTTACCTTTTGATTGAGCAGTTTGGAAGCACTTTTTTTTAGAATCTATGAAGGGATATTTGGAAGCTTGTTGAGGCCTATGGTGAAGAAGGAAATATCTTAAGAGAAAATGCATTAAGAAGTTTTCTGATAATCTTTTGTGATGTGTGCATTCATCTCACAGAGTTAAACCTGTGCTCCAAAATGGAGCATTTTGGAAGCACTATTTTTGTTGAATCTGCAAAGGGATATTTAGGAGCACATTGAGGTCTATGGTGAAAAAGGAAATATTTTCTAATAAAAAGTAGAAAGGAACTTTCTAAGAACCTGCTTTGTAAAGTGTGCATTCATCTTACAGAGTAAAACCTTTCTTTGATGGAGCAGTTTGGAAACACTGTTTTTGTAGAATCTGCGAAGGGATATTTAGGATCATTTTGAAGCCTGTGGTGAAAAAGGAAATATCTTCAGATAAAAACTAGAAAGAAACTTTCTGCAAAACCGCTTTGTGATATTTGCACTCATCTCACAGACTCACACCTTTCTTTTGGTTTAGCAGTTTGCAAACACTGTTTTTGTAGATTCTGCAAAGGGATACTTGGGAGCATATTGAGGACTATGGTGAAAAAGGAAATAACTTCAGAGAAAAACTAGAAACAATCTTTCTGAGAAACTGCTTTGTGATGTGTGCATTCATCTCACAGAGTTAAACATTTCTTTTGATTGAGCAGTTTGGAAACACTGTTTTTTTAGAAAGTGCCAAGGGTTATTAGGGAGAACATTGAGGTCTATGGTAAAAAATGAAATATGTTTAGATAAAAAACAAAAATAAACTTTCAGAGAAACTGATTTGTGATGTGTGCATTCTCCTCACATAGTTAAATATTTCTTTTGATGGAGCAGCTCGAAAGCAGTGTTTTTGTAGATCAATGAAGGGATATTTGAGAGTGCATTGAGACCTATTGTGAAAAAGGAAATGTCTTAAAAGAAAAACAAGAAAGAAGCTTTCTGAGAAACTGATTAGTGATGTGTTCATTCATCTCACACAGTGAAACCTTTTCTTTATGGAGCAGTTTGGAAACACTGTTTTTGTAGAAACAGCAAAAGGATATTTGGGAGTGCATTGACGTCTATGGTCAAAAAGGAAATCTCACTAGATGAAAAATAGAAATAAGCTTCCTGAGAAACTGATTTGTTATGACTATATTCATCTCACTGAGTTAAAACTTTTTTTCATGGATCTGTTAGGAAACACTGTTTTTCTAAAATCTGCGAAGTGATATTGGGGAGAGCATTGAGGCCTATGGTGAAAAAGGAAATATCTTCAGAGAAAACCTAGAAAGAAGCTTTCTGGGAAACTGCTTTTTGATGTGTACATTCATCTCACAGAGTTAAACATTTCTTTTAATTGAACAGTTTGGAAACACTGTTTAGAATCTGCGAAGGGATATTTGGGGAGACATTGAGGCCTGTGGTCCAAAAGGAAATATCTTTAGATAAAAACTAGAAAGAAGCTTTCTGAGAAATTGATTTGTGATGTGTGCATTCATCTCACAGAGTTAAAACTTTCTTTTGATGGATCTATTTGGAAACAGTGTTTTTGTAGAATTTGCAAAGGGATATTTGAGAGTGCATTGAGGCCTGTGGTGAAAAAGGAATATCTTCAGAGAAAAACTAGAAGGAAGCTTTCTGAGAATCTGCTTTGTGATGTTGCATTGTTCTCACAGAGTTAAACCTTTTTTTTTATTGGAGCTATTTGGAAACACTTTTTGTAGAATCTGAGAAGGGATATTTGGGAGTTCATTGAGGCCTATGGAGTAAAAGGAAATATCTTCAGAGAAAAACTAGAAAGGAGCTTTCTGAGAAACTGCTTTGTGATGCATGTGTTGAATTCACAGAGATCAACTTTTGTTTTGATGGAGCAGTTTGGAAACACTGTTTTTGTAGAATTTTTGAAGGGATATGTGGGAGTGCATTAAAGCCTATGGTGAAGAAGGAAATAACTTCAGGGAAAAATAAGAAAGAAACTTTCTGAGAAACTGCTTTGTGATGTGTGCATTCATCTCACAGACTCAAACCTTTCTTTTGGTTGAGCAGTTTGGAAACTGTTTTTGTAGAATCTGTGAAGGGATATTTGGGAGAGCATTGGGGACTATGCTGAAAAAGGATATATCTTCATATAGAAACTAGAAAGAAGCTTTTTGAGAACATGCTTTGTGTTGTGTGCATTCATCTCAAACACTTAAACCTTTCTTTTGATGGGGCAGTTTGGAAACACTGTTTTTGTAGAATCTGCGAAGGGATATTTTGTAGCTCATTGAGGCCTATGGTGAGAAAGGAAATGTCTTCAGAGAAAAACGGGAAAGAGGCATTCTGAGAAACCGCTTTGTGATTTGTGCATTTATCTCAAAGAGTTAAGCCTTTCTTTTGATTCAGCACATTTGACACAACCTTTTTGTACAATCTGTGAAGTGACATTTAGGAGCCCATGTAGTCCCATGGGGAATAACTGAATATCCCCAGGTAAAATCTAGAAAAAAGCTAATTGTGAAACTGCTTTTTGATGTGTGGATTAATCTCACAGAATTAAACATTTCTTTTGATTCAACAGGTTGGACACACTGTTTTTGGAGAATCTGTGAAGAGACAATTCAGAGCCTAAGGAGGGCTACGGGGAAAAACAGAATATCCCCAAGTAAAAACTAGAAAGAATGTATCTGTTAAACTGCTTTGTGATGTGTGGATTCATCTCACAGAGATAAAACTTCCTTTTGATTCAGCAAGTTGGAAACTCTCTTTTTGAAGAATCTGTGATGGGACATTTGGGAACCCACTGAGGCCTAAGGAGAAAAGTCAAATATCCTCAGGTAAAAACTGAAAAGAAGCTGTCCATAAAAATTGCTTTGTTATGTGTGGATTTATATCACAGAGTTAAAACTTTCTTTTGATTCAGCAGGTTAGAAACAGCCTTTTTGGAGAATCTGCGAAGGGACATTTGGGATTCCACTGCAGCCCATTTAAAAAAACTGAATATCCCCAGGTAAAACCTAGAAAGAAGCCATCTGTGAAACTGCTTTCTGATGTGTGGATTCATCTCACTGAGTTAAACTTTTCTTTTGAAACAGCAGGTTAGAAACACTCTTTTTGGAGATTCAGCAAAAGGACATTTGGGAGATCATTCAGTCCCATAGGAAAAAAAATATATATAAATATATGTATACATATCTGCAGGTAAAAACTAGAAAGGAGCAATCTATGAAACTGCTTTGTCATGTGTGGATTCATCTCACAGAGGTAACCCTTTCTTTTGATCCAGCTGGTTGGAAAAACTCTTTATGGAGAATCCATGAGGGGACATTTGGGAGCCCACTGTGGCCTTTGGTGAAAAACAGAATGTCCTCAGGTAAAAAGTACAAATAAGCTATCTGTGAAACTGCCATGTCATGTGTAGAATCATCTCACACAGTTAAGCCACTGTTTTGATTAAGCAGGTTAAAAACACTCTGGACAATTTGTGAAAGACATTTGGGATCCATTTGCAGCCTATGTGGAAAAACAGAATAGCCACAGGTAGAAACTAGAAAGATGCTTGCTGTGAAACTGCTTTGTGATGTGTGGATTCATCTCACAGAGTTCCCTTTGATTCAACAGGTTGGAAACACTCTTTCTGGAGAATACACGAGGGGACATTTGGGAGCCCATTGAGGCCTATGGAGAAAAACAAAATATCCCCAGATAAAAATTAGAGAGAAGCTATCTGTGAAACTGCTTTGTGATGTGTGGATTCATGTCACAGAGTGAGACCTTTCTTTTGATTCTGCAGGTTGGAAACCCTCTTTTTGGAGGATCTGCAAAGGGCCATTTGCGATCCCATTGAAGCCTAAGGGGAAAAACTGAATATCCCAAGATAAAAACTATAAAAAAGCTTTCTGTGAGACTGCTTTGTCATGTGTGGATTCATCTCACAGACTTAAAGCCTTCTTTTGATTCAGCAGCTTAGAAACACTCTTTTCAGAGAATCTACAAAGGGAAATTTGCAAGCCCATTGAGCTCTTGGAGAGAAAGAGAATATTCCCAGATAAAAACTAGAAAGAAGCTCTCTGTGAAACTTCTGTGTGATATGTGGATTCAACACAGAGTTAAACCTTTCTATTGATTCACCAGTTGAAAACACTCTATTTGGAGAAAGTTAGAACAGACATTTGGGATCCTAATGAGGTCTATGGGGAAAAACTGAATATCCCCAGATATAAACTAGAAAGAAGCTATCTGTGAAACTGCTTTGTGATGCGTGGATTCATCTCACAGAGTTAAATCTTTCTTTTGATTCAGCAGTTTGAAAACACAATATTTCAAGAATCTGCAAAGGGACATTGGGAGCTAACTGATGCCTCTGTGATAAAACACAACATCCATAGATAAAAACTAGAAAGAAGCTATCTGTGAATCTACTTTGTGATATGTGGATGCATCTCACAGAGTTAAACCTTTCTTTTAATTCATCAGGTTGGGAGCCCTCTTTTTGGAGAATTGGTAAAGAAACACTTGGGATCCCATTGAGGCCTGTGAAGAAAAACAGACTATCCCCAGCTAAACACTAGAAAGAAGCTATCTGTGAAGCTGCTTTGTGATGGGTGGATTCATTTCACAGAGATAAAACTTTATATTGACTAAGTAGGTTGGAAATCCTCTTATTGGAGAATCTGTGAAGAAACATTTCAGATCCCATTGAGGCCTAAGGAAAAAAACTGAATATCCTCAGATAAAAACTAGAAAGAAGCTATTGGTGAAACTACTTTGTGATGTGTGGATTCATCTCACAGAGTTAAAACTTTTTATTGATTCAGCAAGTTGAAACACTCTTTTTGTAGAAATGCAAAGCATTGTTTCAGAGCCCATTGTGTCCTATGGAGAAAAACCGAATATCACCAGTTAAAATCTAGAAATAAACTATCGGAGAAACTGCTTTCTGATGTGTTTATTCATCTCACAGAGCTAAAACTTTCCTTTGATTCAGCAGGTTGGAAATAATCTTTTTGTAGAATCTGTGAAGGGACATTTGAGAGCCCCTTGAGGGCTATGGGGAAAAACTGAATATCCCGAGATAAAAACTAGAAAGATGATATCTGTGAAAATGCTTTGTGATGTGTAGATTCATACACAGAGTTACAACTTTCTTTTGGTTCTGCAGGTTGAAAACACTGTATTTGGAGAATCTGTGGGGGGACTTTTGAAAGCCCATTGAGGCAAATGGGGGAAAACAAAACATCCCCAGATAAAAACTAGAAAGAAGTTATCAGTGAACATGCTTTTTGATGTGTGGATTCATCTCACAAAGTTAAATCTTTCTTTTCATTCAGCAGATTGGAAACCCTATTTTTAACAGTCATTGAAGAGATATTTGGAAGCCCATTGAGGTCTTCAGAGATAAACAGAATATCCCCAGGTAAAAACTAGAAAGATGATATCTGTGAAACTGCTTTGTGATATGTGGATTCATCCATACAGTTATACCTTACTTTTGTTTCAGCAGGTTGAAAACACTTTATTTGGAGAATCTGCAAAGGGACATTTGAAAGTCCTTTGAGGCAAATGGGGAAAAACCAAATATCCCAAGATAAAAACTAGAAAGAAGCTATCAGTGAATCTGCCCTTTGATGTGTGGATTCATCTCACAGAGTTAAATCTTTCTTTTGATTCAGCAGGTTGGAAACACTATTTTTAAGAATCAGTGAAGAGATATTTGGGAGTCCATTGAGGCCTTTGGAGATAAACAAAATATCCCCAGATAAAAAGTGGAAAGAAACTATCTGTGAAACTGCTTTGTGATTTGTGGATTCATCTCACAGAGTTAAATCTTTCTTCTGATTCAGCAGGTTGGGAAAACTCTTTTTGGAGAATCCTCGAAGTGACATTTTTGAACCCATTGAGGAAAAAGGGAGAAAACAGAATATCCCCAGATAAAAACTAGAAAGAAGCTATCTGTGCAACTGCTTTGTGATGTGCAGATTCATCTCACAGAATTACACTGCCTTTCATTCAGCACTTTGGAAACAATCTTTTTTGGAGAATCTGTGAAGATATATTTGGGAGCCCATTGGGGCCTATGTATAAAAACAGAATACCCCAGAAAAAAAAGTTTAAAGAAGCTATCTGTGAAATGGCTTTGTGAGGTATGCATTCATCTCACAGAATTAAAACTTTCTTTTGATTCAGCATGTTTTAAACACTCTTTTGGTAGATTCTGTGAAGAGACATTTAAGAGCCCATTGAGACCTATTGGAAAAAAACTGAATATATCCAGGTAAACTAGAAAGAAGCTACCTGTGAAACTGCTTTATGATATGTTGATACATCTCACAGAGTTAAACCTTTCTTTTGATTCTGCAGTTTGGAAACATTGTTTTTGTAGAATCTGTGAAGGGACATCTAGGAGCTCATTCAGGCATAAGGAGAAAAAGCAAATATCCCTAGATAAAAACCAGAAAGAAGCTCTCTGTGAAACTGCTTTGTGATATGTGGGTTCATCTCAAAGAATTAAACTTTTCTTTTGATTCAGCTGTTTTGAAACACTGTTTTTGAAGAATCTACAAAGGGACATTTGGAAAAACATTTCTTGGAAAATCTATGAAGGGACATTTGGGAGCCCATTGGTGCCCAAGGGGAAAAACAGAATATCCCCAGGTAAAAACTAGAAAGAAGCTATCTGTGAAACTGCTTTGCAATGTGCAGATTCATCTCACAGAGCTAAACCTTTCTTTTGATACAACAGGTTGAAAACACTCTATTTGGAGAATCTGTGAAGGGACATTTTAAAGCCCATTGAGGCCTATGGGGAGAAACAGAATATCCCCATATGAAAACTAGAAAGAAACCATCTGTGAATCTGTTTTGCAATGTGTAGATTCATCTCACAGAGTTAAATTTTTATTTTAATTCAGCAGGTTGAAACACTCTTTTTGAAGAATCTGTGAAGGGATATTTGGGAGCCCATTGAAGCCTATGGGGAAAAACCAAATATCTTCAGACAAAAACTAGACAAAAGCTACCTGTGAAACTGCATTGCGATTTGTGGATTTATCTCACAGATTTTGACATTGTTTTTGATTCAGCAGGTTGGAAACACTTTTATTGGAGAAACTGTGAGGGGACATTTGAGAGCCCAATGTGGCCTATGGGGAAAAACCGAGTATCTCCAGATAAAAACTAGAAAGAAACTGTCCATGTAATCACTTTGTGATTTGTGGATTCAATTATCAGAGTTAAACCCTTCTTTTAATTCAGCAGTTTGGAAACACTCTTTTTTGAGAATCTGCAAAAGAACATTTGGGAGCCCATTGTGGCCTATGGGAAAAACTCAATATCTCCAGATAAAAACTAGAAAGAAGCTATCTGTGAATCTGCTTTGTGATGTGTGGATTCATCTCACAGAGCCAAACCTTTCTCTTGTTTCAGCAGGTTGGAAACACTGTATTTGGAGATTGTGAAAAGACATTTGGGAGCCCATTGATGCCTATGAGGAAAAACTGAATATTCCCTGATGGGAACTAGAAAGAAGCTTTCTGTGAACTGTTTGTGATGTGTGAATTCATCTCACAGAGTTAAACCTTTCTTTTGATTCAGCAGGTTGGAAACACTGTTTTTGGAAAATCAGCAAAGGGACATTTGGGAGCCCTTTGAGGACTATAGGGAAAAATGGAATATCCCCAGATAAAAACTAGAAAGAAGCCATCTGTGAAACTACTTTGTGATGTGTGGATTCATCTCACAGAGTTAAAGCTTCCTTTTAATTCAGCAGGTTGGAAGCACTCTTTTTGGAGGATCTTCGAAGTGACATTTGGGAGTCCATTGAGGCCTATGGGGAAAAAACGAACATCTCCAGATAAAAATTAGAAAGAAATTATCTTTGTTACCACTTTGGGATGTGTGGATTCATCTAACAGAGTTAAATCATTTTTTTATTCAGCAGGTTGGAAACACTTTTTTAGTAGAGTCTGTGAAGCAATATTTTGGTGGTCCATTGAAACCTATGGGGAAAAACTGAATATCCCCAGATAAAAACTGGAAAGAAGCTATCAGTGAAATTGCTTTCTGATGTTTGGATTCATCTCACAGAGATAAACCTTTCTTTTGATACAGCAGGTTGGAAACACCTTTATTGAGACTGTGTGAAGGGATATTTTGGAGTACATTGAGGCCTAAGGAGAAAAAACAAATATCCCCAGGTAAAAACTAGGAAGAAGCTATCTGTGAAACTGCTTTGTGATGTGTGGATTCATCTCACAGGTTTAAAGTTTTCCTTTGATGCAGCATGTTGAAAATACTCTCTTTGGAGAATCTGCTAAGGGACATTTTGCAGCCCATTGAGGCTATGGAGAAAAACTGAATATACCCAGATATAAACTAGAAAGAAGCTATCAGTGAATCTGCTTTGTGATGTGTGGATTCATCTGACAGATTTCAGCCTTTCTTTTGACTCAGCAGGTTGGATACACTATTTTTGGAGAATCTGTGAAGGGGCATTTGGGAGCCCATTTAGGCATAGCAGGAAATCTGTATATGCCCAAATAGAAACTAGAAAGAATCTGTCTGTGCAACTGCTTTGTGATGTGTGGATTAATCTCAGAAAGTTAAAACATTCTTTTGAATCAGTCAGTTGGAAACACTCTTTGTAGAATCTGCAAAGGGATATTTGGGAGCCCATTGAATCCTATAAGAAAAATGGAATATCACCAGATAAAAACTAGAAAGAAGCTATGTGTGAAACTGCTTTCTGATGTGTGGATTCATCTCACAGAGTTAAAGTTTTTTTTCATTCAGCAGATTAGAAGCACTCTTTTTGGAGAATTTGCAAAGGGACATTTGGGAGGTCATTGAGACCTATGGGAAAAATAGTATATGTCCTGAAAAAACTAGATAGAAGCTATCTGTGAAACAGCTTTGTGATGTTGGATTCACCTCACAGAGTTAAACCTTTCTTTTGATTCAGCAATTTATAAAAACTGTAATTTGAGCATCTGCAAAGGGACATTTAAGAGCACATTTTGGCCTTTGGGGAAAAACAGAATATCCCCAGATAAAAACTAGAAAGAAGCTATCTGTGAAACTGCTCTGTGACATGTGGATCATCTCAGGTGTTAAACTTTGTTTTTGATTCAGCAAGTTAGAAACACTCTTTTAGTAGAATATGTGAAACGACATTAGGGAGCCCATTGAGGCCCATGGGAAAAACTGAATATTCCAAGGTAAAAACTGGAAAGAATCTATCTTTGAAATTGCTTTGTGATGTATTGATTCATCTCACAGAGTTAAATATTTCTTTTGCTTCAGCAGTTTGGAAACACTCTTTTTGGATAATCTGCAAAGGGACATTTTGGAGACCATTTTGGCCTATGTAGAGACACAAAATATCCCCAGTAAAAACTAGAAAGAAGCTATCTGTGAAATTGCTTTGTGATATGTGGATCATCTCACAGTGTTAAAACTTTCTTTTCAATCCACCAGTTGGAAACACTCTTTTTGGAGAATCTGTGGAGAGATATTTGGGAGCTCATTGAGGCTTATGAGGAAAAACCAAATATCCCCAGATAAAAGCTAGAAACAAGCAATCTATGAAACTGCTTTGTTATGTGTGGATTCATCTCACACAGTTAAAACTTTCTTTTTAATCAGCTGTTTGGAACCACTCTTTTTATAAAATCCGTGAAGGGACGCTTGGGAACGCATTGAGGCTTATGGAAAAAAAAGGAATATCCCCAGATAAAAACTAGTAAGAAGCTATCTGTGAAACTGCTTTGTGACGTGTGGATTCATCTCACAGAGTTAAACCTTTCTTTCAATTCAGCAGTTTGGAAACAATGTTTTTGTAGAATATGTGAAGGGACATTTGAAAGCCCATTCAGGCCTATGGGAGAAAACACAATATCCCCATACAAAAAGTAGAAAGAACCTATCTGCTTTGTGATGTGTGGATTCATCTCACTGGGTCAAACCTTTCTTTTGATTAAGCATGTTGGAATCACTCTTCTTTTACAATCTGCAAGGGGACATTTGGGAGGCCTTTCAGGGCTATTTGGAAAAACTGAATATCCCCAAATAAAAACTAGAAAAATCTATTGGTGAAACTACTTTGTGATATGTGGATTCATCTAACAGAGTTAAACTTTTCTTGGATTACGCAGGATGTAAATACTCTATTTGAAGGATCTGTGAAGGGACATTTGGGAGCATATTGAGGCCAATAGGGAAGCCTGAATACCCTAGATAAAAACTAGAAAGAAGCTATCCGTGAAACTGCTTTGTGATGTGTGGATTCATCTAACTGAGTTAAGCCTTTTGTTGGATTCAGCAAGTTGGAAACACTCTTTTTGGAGAATCTGTAAAGGTACATTTGGGAGCCCATTTTGTCCTATGAAGAAAAACAGAATATCCCCAGATGAAAATTAGAAAGAAGCTATCTGTGAAACTCCGTTATTATGTGTGGGTTCATCTCACAGATTTAAACCATTCTTTTGATTCAGCAGGTTGGAAACATTATTTTTGGAGAATCTGCAAAAAGACATTTGGGAGCCCATTGAGACCTATGGGGAAAAACCAAATATTTCCAGAAAAAAAAGTAGATAGAACTTATCTTTGAAACTACTTTGTGATGTGTGGATTCATCTCACAGAGTTAAACTTTTTGTGATTCAGCAGTTTGGAATCACTCTTTTTGAAGTATCTGTGAAGAAACCCTTCGGAGCCTATTGCAGCCTATTAGGAAAACTGAATATTTCCAGGTAAACTGGACAGAAGCTATCTGTGATACTGCTTTGTGATCTGTGGATTCCTCTTACAGGGTTAAACCATTTTTTTTGATTCAGCAGGTTGGAAGTACTCTTTTTGAAGAATCTGTGAGGAAAGGTTGGGAGCCCATTGAGACCTATGGGGAATAACAGAATATCTCCAGATAAAAACAAGAAAGAAATTATCTGTGCAACTGCTTTGTGATGTGTGGATTCACCTCACAGAGTTAAACCTTTCTTTTGATTCAGCATGTGGGAAACCCTGTTTTTGCATGTTCTGCGAAGAGACAGTTAAGAGCCCATTGAGGCCTATGGGGAAAACCAAATATCCCCAGATAAAAACTAGAAAGAAGATATCTGTTAAACTGTTTTGTTTGTGAGGATTTACATAACGAGTTAAAATTTTCTTTTGACTCAGGACGTTGGAAACACTCTTTTTGGAGAATCTGCGAAGAAACATTTGGAAGCCCGTTGCTGCCTATCTGGAAATACCAAATATCTCCAGATGAAAATTAGACAGAAGCTATCTGTGAAACTTCTTTGTGATGTGTGGATTCATCTCACGGATTAAAGCTTTCTTTTGATTCAGCAGGTTGGAAACTCTTTTTAGAGTATATGTGAAGGGACAATTTGATGCCCACTTAGACCTATCAGGAAAACCAAATACCCCAATAAAAGCTAGAAAGAAGCTATCTGTGAAACTGCTTTGTGATGTGTGGATTCATCTCAAAGAGTTAAACCTTTCTTTTGACTCAGCAGGTTGGAAAACTTTATTTCAAAAATCTGCAAAGGGATATTAGGAGCCCATTGAAGCCTCTGGGAAAAAACTGAATATCCCCAAATAAAAACTTGAAAAAAGCTAACTGTGAAACTGCTTTGTGATGTGTGGATTCATCTCACAGGGTTAAACCTTTCCTTTGATTCAGCAGGTTGGAAACACTCTGCTGGGATAATCTGCAAAGGGACATTTGGGTACCCATTGTGGCCTATGTGGAAAAACAGAATACCCCCAAGTAAAAACTAGAAAGAAGCTATCTCTGAAACTGCTTTGATGTGTGAGGATGCATCTCATAGAGTTAAAGACTTATTTTCATTCTGCAGGTTTGAAACACTGTAGAATCTGTGAAGGGATATTTGGGACCCATCCAGGCCTTTGGGGAAAGACTGAATATCCCTAGATATAAACTAGAAAGGGGCTATTTGTGAAACTGCTTTGGGATGTGAAGATTCATCTAACAGAGTTAAACCTTCCTTTTCATTCAGCAGTTTGGAAACAATTATTTTGGAGAATGTACAAAGGGACATTTGGGATCCCATGGAGGCTTATGGAGAAAAACCGAAAATCCCCAGATGAAAACTAGAAGGAGCTATCTGCGAAATTGCTTTGTGATGTGTGGATTCATCTCACAGAGTAAAAACTTTCTTTTGATTAAGCAGGTTGGGTATACCCTATTTGGAGAATTTATGAATGGACATTTGGAGGCCATTGAAGCCTACATTAAAAAAATGAATATCTCCAGATAAAAACTAGAAAGATGCTATCTGTAAATCTGCTTTGTGATGTGTAGATTCATCTCACATTGCTAAACTTTCTTTTGATTCAACAGGTTGGAAATACTTTTTCTGATGGGTCTGTGAAGGGACATTTAGGAGCCCAGTGAGGCCTATTGAAAGAAATGGAATATCTTCAGATAAAAACGAGACAGAAGCTATCTGTGAAACTGCTTTGTGATATTTGGATTCATCTCAGAGTTAAACCTTTCTTTTCATTCAGCAGGTTGAAAACACTCTTTGTAGAATCTGTGAAGAGACATTTGGTAGCCCATTGAGGCCTATGGAGTAAAACTTAATATTCCTTGATACATCTAGAAAGAAGCTATCTGTAAAACTGCTTTATGATGTGTGGTTTCATCTCACAGAGTTAAACTTTTATTTTGATTCAGCAGGTTGGATACACTCTTTTTGTATCATCTGCAAAGGGATATTTTGGAGCCCATTGAGGCCTAAGGGAAAAAACAGAATATCCCCTGATAAAAACTAGAAAGACCCTATCTGTGAAATTGCTTTGTGATGTGTGGATTCATCACAATGAGTTAAACCTTTCTTTTGATTCAGCAGGTTGGAAACACTCTTTTTGTAGGATTTGCAAAGGGACATTTGGGAGCCCCTTGAGGCATAAAGAAAAAACCTGAATATCTTCAGATAAAAACCAGAAAGAACCTATCTGTGAAACTGCTTTGTGGTGTGTGGATTCATCCCACAGAGTTAAACTTTTTTGTTTTTCAGCAGACTGGAAACACCCTTTTTGAAGAATCTGCAAAGAATCACTGGGGAGCCTATTGAGGCCTATGGGGAAAAGCAGAATATCTCCTGTTAAAAACTAGTAAGAAGTGATCTGTGTAACCCCTTTGTGATGTGTGCATTCACCTCACAGAGTTAAAACTTTCTTTTGATTCAGCAGGTTGGAAACACTCTTTTTAGGGAATATGTGAAGGGAAACTTAAGAGCATATTGATTCCTATGAGGAAAAAGTGAATACCCCAGATAAAAACTAGAAAGAAGCTATCTGAGAAACTGCTTTGTTTTGTGTGGATTCATCCAACAGAGTTAAAAGTTTCTTTTGATTCAGCAGGTTGGAAACACTCTTTTTGTAGAATATGTGAAGGGACATTTGGGAGCCCATTGAGGTCCATGGGGGAAAACCAAATATCCTCAGATAAAAGCTAGAAACAAGCTGTCTGTGAAACTGCCTTGTTATATGTGGGTTCATCTCACAGGTTAAAACTTTCTTTTTATTCAGCAGTTTGGAAACACTCTTTTTGTAGAATCAGTGAAGCAACATTTGGGAGTCCATTGAGGCTTATGGGGAAAAAAAGGATGTCTATCCTCAGATAAAAACTAGCAAGAAGCTATCTGTGAAACTGCTTTGTGATGTGTGGATTCATCTCACAGAGTTAAACCTTTTTTTGATTCAGCAGGTTGGAAACAATGTTGAAAGGAGAAGAAAGAGAGATCAGACTGTTACTGTGTCTATGTAGAAAGGGAAGACATAAGAAATTCTATTTTGACCTGTACTTTGAAAAATTGCTTGGCTGATATGCTGTTAATTTGTAACTTTGCCCCAGTCACTTTGCCCCAGCCACTTTGCCCCAAATTTGAGCTCACAAAAACATGTGTTGTATGGAATCAAGGCTTAAGGGATCTAGGTCTGTGCAGGACATGCCTTGTTAACAAAACGTTTACAAGCATTATGTTTGATAAAAGTCATTGTCATTCTCTAGTCTCAATAAACCAGGGGCACAATGTACTGTGAAAAGCCACAGGGACCTCAGCCTTGGAAAGCTGGGTATTGTCCCAGGTTTCTCCCCATGTGATAGTCTTAAATATGGCCTCTTGGGATGAGAAAGACCTGACTATCCCCCAGCTCAACACCTGTATGGGGTCTGTGCTGAGATGGATTAATAAAAGAGAAAAGCCTCTTGCAGTTGAGATAGAGGATGGTCACTCTCTCCTGCCTGCCCCTAGGAACTGAATGTCTCAGTATAAAACCCGATTGTACATTTGTTCAATTCTGAGATAGGAGAAAAGCTACCCTATGGTGGGAGGCGAGACATAGTGGCAGCAATGCTGCCTTGTTATTCTTCACTCCACTGAGATGTTTGGGCTGAGAGAAACATAAATCTGACCTATGTGCACATCCACGCATAGTACCTCCCCTTGAACTCAATTATGACATAGATTCTTTTGCTCAGATTTTTTTTGCTGACCTTCTCCTTATTATCACCCTGCTCTCCTACCACATTCCTCTTGCTGAGAAAATGAAAATAATAATCAATAAAAACTGAAGGAACTCAGAGACCGGTGCTAGTGCAGGTCCTTGGTATGCTGAGTGTCAGTCTCCTGGGCCCACTGTTGTTTCTCTGTACGTTGTCTCTGTGTCTTATTTCTTTTCCTAGTCTCTCATCCCACCTGAGGAGATATGTCCACAGGTGTGGAGGAAAAGGTCACCCCTTCAAATATTTTTGTAGAATCTGTGAAGGGACACTTGAAAACCCATTTAGGCCTATGGGGGAAAACAGAATATCCCCATATAAAAACTAGAAAGAAGCTATCTGTGAAACTGCTTTGTGATGTGTGGATTCATCTCACTGAGTTAAACCTTTCTTTTTATTCAGCAGGTTGGAAAAACTCTTCTTGTGTAATCTGCCAAGGGACATTTGGGTGACCTTTCAGGGTTATGTGGAAAAACTGAATATCTTCAGATAAAAAGTAGAAAAACACTATTTGTGAAACTGCTTTGTGGTGTGTGGATTCATCTAACAGAGTTAAACCTTTCTTTGATTAAGCAGGTTTGAAATACTCTATTTGGAGATACTGTGAAGGTACATTTGGGAGCCCATTTTGTCCTAAGAAGAAAAACCCAATAACCCCTGATGAAAAGTAGAAAGAAGCTATCTGTGAAACTCCTTTGTTATGTGAGGGTTCATTTCACAGAGTTAAACCGTTCTTTTGATCCAGCAGGTTGGAAACCCTCTTATTGCAGGACCTGCAAAGAGGTATTTGGGAGCCCATTGAGACCTATGGGGAAAAACTGAATATTTCCAGAAAAAAAACTAAATAGAAGCTATCTTTGAAACTACATTGTGATTTGTTGATTCATCTCACAGAGTTAAACTTTTTTTGATTCAGCAGGTTGGAAACACTCTTTTTGAAGAATCTGCAAAGAAACACTTTGGAGCCTATTGAGGCCTATTAGGAAAAAATGAATATTTCCAGGTAAACCAGAAAGAAGCTATGTGTGATACTGCTTTGATATCTGTGGATTCCCCTCACAGAGTTAAACTTTTTTTTTTTTTCTTCAGCAGTTTGGAAACACTCTTTTTGAAGAATCTGTGAAGAAACATTTGGGAGCCCATTGAGGCCAATTGGGAATAACCAAATATCTCCAGATGAAAACAAGAAAAATATTCTCTGTGTAACTGCTTTGTGATGTGTGGATTCACCTCACAGATTTAAAACTTTCTTTTGATTCAGCAGGTTGGAAACCTCTTTTTGGAGAATCTGCAAAGGGACATTTAAGAGGCCTTTGAGTTCTATGGGGAAAACCAAATATCAACAGATAAAATCTAGAAAGAAGCCCTCTGTGAAACTCCTTTGTTTGTGAGGATTCATCTCAAAAAGACTTAAAACTTTCTTTTGATTCAGGAGGTTGGAAACCCTCTTTTTGGAGAATCTGCAAAGAAACATTTGGGAGCCCATTGTTGCCTATCTGGAAATACTGAATATCTTCTGAAAAAAACTAGAAAGAAGCTTTCTTTGAAACTGCTTTGCGATGTGTGGATTCATCACAAAGAGTTAAACCTTTCTTTTGATTCAGCAGGTTGGAAAAACTATTTTTGTAGAATCTGCAAAAAGACATTTGGGAGCCCATTGAAGCATCAGGAAAAAAACTGAATATCTTCAGATAAAAATTAGAAAGAACCTATCTGTAAAATTGCTTTGTGATTTGTGATTCCTCCTGCAGAGTTAAACTTTTTTTTTTAATTCAGCAGATTGGAAACACCCTTTTTGGAGAATCTATGAAGAAACATTTTGGAGCCTATTGAGGCCCATAGGGAAAAGCAAAGTATCTCCAGTTAAAAACTAGTAAGAAACTATCTGTGTAACTGCTTTGTGATGTGTGGATTCACCTCACAGAGTTAAACCCTTCTTTTGATTCAACATTTTGGAGACACTATTTTTGTAGAATCTGCGAAGGTACATTTAGGAGCCTTTGGAGGACTATCAGGAAAAAACGAATATCCCCATATAAAAACTAGAAAGAAACTATCTGAGAAACTGATTCATTATGTGTGGATTCATCTCATAGAGGTAAAGATTTCTTTTCACTCACCAAGTTGGAAACACTCTTTTTGTAGAAACCATAAAGGGACATTGGGAGCCCATTGTGGCCTATGGGGAAAAACGAAATATCCCCAGTTAAAAAGTGGAAGGAAGCCATCTGCACAACTGCTTAGTTATGTGTGGATTCATCTCATAGTGTTAAATATTTCCTTTGATTCAGCAGGCTTGGAAACACTCTTTTTGTACAATCTGCAAAGGAATATTTGGAGCCCACCGAGGCCCAAGGGGAAAAACAGAATATCCCCAATAAAGAGTAGAAAGAAGATATCTGTGAAACTGCTTTGTGATGTATGGATTCATCTCACAGAGTTAAACTTTTCTTTTGATTCAGCAGGTGGGAATCACTCTTTTTATATAATCTGAGGGAAGAAATGTGGGAGCCCATTGAGGCCCTTGGGAAACAAAGGAATATCCCCAGATGAAAACTAGAAAGAAGCTACCTGTGAGCCTGCTTTGTTATATGTGGATTCCTCATACAGAGTTGAAACTTTCTTTTGACTCAACAGGTTGGAAACACTCTTTTTGTAGAATCTGCAAAGGAACATTTGGGAGCCCATTGAGGCCTATGGAAAAAAAAACTAATATCCCCATATAAAAAGTAGAGGAAAGCTATCTGTGCAACTGTTTAGTAATGTGTGGATTCATCTCACAGAGTTAAACCTTTCTTTTTATTCAGCAGGTTAGAAAAACTCTTTTTGTTCCATCTGTGATGAGACATGTGGAGCCCATTGAGGCCTATGGAGAAAAAAATATTATAACCAATAAAAAAAGAAAGAAGATATCTGTCAATCTGCTTTGCAATGTGTGGATTCATGTCACAGAGTTAAACTTTTCTTTTAATTCAACGGGTTGGAAACACTCTTTTTATAGAATCTGTGAGGGGAAATTTGGGAGCCCTTTTAGGCCCTTGGGGAAGCACAGAATATCCCCAGATAAAAACTAGGAAGAAGCTATCTATGAAATTTCTTTGTGATGCGTGGATTTATCTCACAGACATAAATCTTCTTTTGATTTGCCACATTGGAAACACTGTTTTTGGAGAATCTGAGAAGCAACATTTAGGAGCACACTGAGTCATATTGGGAAAAACAAAATATCCCCAGATAACTAGAAACAAGCTATCTGTGAGACTGCTTTGTGATGTGTGGATTCATCTCACAGAGTTAAACCTTTCTTTTAATACAGCAGGTTAGGGACACTCCTTTCAGAGAATCTGCTGAGGGACATTTCTGACCCCATTGAGGCTTATGGGAAAAAAACAGAATATTTACAGATAAAAGCTAGAAAGAATCTATCTGTCATACTGCTTTGTGATTTGTGAATTCATCACACAGAGTTAAACCTGTCTTTTGATTCAGCAGGTTGTAAAAACTCTTTTTGTAGATTTTGTGAAGGGACAAAAGCCCACTGTGGTCTCTAAGGAAAAATGGAATGTCTCCAGTAAAAAAGTAGAGAGAAACTATCTGTGAATCTGTTTTCTGATGTGTAGATTCACCTCACCAAGTAAAACCTTTCTTTTGATTCAGCAGGTTGGAAATATTCTTTTTGAAAAATCTGCAAGGGGGCATTTTGAAGCCCATTGTGGCCTATGGAGGAAGATTGGATATCTCCACATAAAAATTAGAAAGAACCTATCTGAGATACTTCTGTGTGATGTGTTGATTCATCTCACAGAGTTAGACCTTTCTTTTGATTCAGCATGTTGAAAACACTCTATTTAAAGAATCTGCAAAGGGACATTTGGGAGCCTTTTGAGGCCTATGGAGTAAAACTGAATATCCCCACATAAAAACTAGAAAGAAGATATCTGTGAAACTGCTTTGTGATGTATGGATTCATCTTGCAGAGTTTAACCTTTCTTTTTATTCAGCCTGTTGGAAGTACTCTTTTCAGAGAATCTGCAAATGGACATTTTGGAACTCATTGAGGTCTACAGTGAAAAAATGAATATCCCCAGATATAAACAAGAATGAAGCTATTTGTGAGACAGTTTTGTGATGTGTGGATTCATCCAACAGAGTTAAACCTTTCTTTTGATTCTTCAGGTTGGAAATATTCTTTTTGGAGAATCTATGAAGGGACATTTGGGAGCCCATTTTGGCCTATGGGGAAAATACGAATATCCCCAGATTAAAAACTAGAAGGAAGCTATCTGTGCAACTGCTTAGTTATGTGTCGATATGCCTCACAGATATAAACCTTTCTTTTCATTCAGAAGGTTGGAAATGCTCTTTTTGTACAATCTGCAAAGAAACGTTGGCAGCCCATTGAGGACTATGGGGAAAAACCAAACTTCCCAATAAAAAATAGAAAAAAGATAGCTGTGAAACTGCTTGCAATGTATGGCTTCATCTCAAAGACTTAAATTTTTCTTCAAATTCAGCAGGTTGGAAACACTCTTCTTGTAGAATCTGCAAAGGGAAATTTGGGAGCCCATTGATGCCCATGGAGAAAATTGGAATACCCCCAGAAAAATGTTAGAAAGAAGCTATCTTTGAAACTGTTTTGTTATGTGTGGATTCATCACACAGAGTTGAAACTTTCTTTTGATTCAGCAGGTTAGAAACACTCCTTTTGTAGAATCTGCAAAGAGACATTTGGGAGCCCATTTAGGCCTATGGGGAAAAAGCAAATATTCCCAGATAAAAACTAGAAAGAAGCTATCTGTAAAACTGCTTTGTGATGTGGGAATTCATCACACAGAGTTATACCTTTGTCTTGGTTCAGCTGGTTGGAAACACTCTTTTTGTAGAATTTCTCAAGGGACATTTTGGAACCCATTGAGGTCTATGGGGAAAAACCTAATATCCACAGATAAAAACTAGAAAGAAACTATCTGTGATACTGATTTTTGATGTGTGGATTCATCTACTAGAGTTAAAACTTTTTTTTATTCAGCAGGTTGGAAACACTCTATTTGAAGAATCTGCGAAGGGACATTTGAAAGCCCATTGAGGCCTATGAAGAAAAAATGGAATATCCCCAGATAAAACCTGGAAGGAAACTATCTGTGAATGTGCTTTGTGATGTGTGCATTAATCTCAACAAGTTAAACTTTATTTTGATTAACCAGGTGGAAACACTCTTTTTGGAGAATCTTAGAGCTGACATTTGGGAGTCCACTGAGGCCTATGGGGAAAAACAGAGTAGCCCCAGATAAAAACCAGAAAGCATCTAAATGTGAAACTGCTTTGTCATGTGTGGATTCCTCTCACACAGACAGACCTTTCTTTTGATTCAGCAGGTTGAAATCGCTCTATTTAAGGAATCTGTGAAGGCATATTTGGGAGCCCATTGAGTTCTATGGTGTAAAACAGAATATCCCATATAAATACTAGAAAGAAACTATGTTTGAAAATGCTTTGTAATATATGGATTCATCTCACAGAGTTTAACTTTTCTTTTGGTTCAGCCTGTTGAAACACTCTTTTTAGAGAATCTACAAAGGGACATTTGGGAGCTCATTGGGGCCAATGTGGAAAAACAGAATATCCCCAGGTAAAAATTAGAAAGGTGCTATCTGTGAAACTGCCTTGTAATGTGTGGATTCATCTCCCAAGTTTCAACCTTTCTTTTGATTTAGCTAGTTGGAAACACTCTTTCTGGAGAATCTGCAAAGGGACATTTGGGAGCCCATTGGGGCCTACGGGAGAAACTAAATATCCCCAGATAAAAATAAGACAGAAGCTATCTGTGAAACAGCATTGTGATGTGTGGATTCAGCTCAAAAAGTTAAAAGTTTCTTTAGATTTGGCAGGTTGGAAACAGTCTTTTTGGAGAATCTGTGATGGGACATTTTGGAGCTAATTGAATCCTAAGGGGAAAAACTGAATATGCCCAAATAAAAACTAGAAAGAAGCTATCTGTGAAACTGCTTTGTGACATGTGGATTCAGTCACAGAGTGAAACCTTTCTTTTATTCAGCACGTTGGGAAACACTCTCTTTGGATATTCTGTGAAGGGACATTTTAGAGCCCACTGAGGCCTATTGGGAAAAACTGAATATCCCTAGGTAAAAACTAGAAAGTAGCTATGGGTGAAACTGCTTTGTGATGTGGAGTCATCTCACAGAGTTAAACCTGTCTTTTGATTCAGAAGGTTGAAAATGCTCTTTTTGGAGAATCTGCAAAGGGACATTTGGGGGCCCATTGAGGGCTACGTGCAAAAACTGAATATTGTCAGAAAAAAACTAGAAAGAAGCTATTTGTAAAACTGCTTTGTGATGTGTGGATTCATCTCACGGAGTTAAACCATTCTTTTGATTCAGCAGGTTGGTAACACTCTTTTTGGAGTATCTGCAAAGTGAAATTTTGGAGTCTATTGAGGTGTTTGAGAAAAAACGAATATCCTTATATAAAAACTAGAAAGACGCTATCGGTAAAACTGCTTAGTGAAGTGTGGATTCATCTCACAGAGTTAAACCTTTCTTTTGATCCAGCAGGTTGGAAACACTCTTTTTTGTGAATCTGTGAAGTAACATTTTGGAGCCCATTGAGGCCTATGTGGAAAAACCGAATATCCCCAGGTAAAAACAAGAAAGCAGCTACCTGTGAAACTTCTGTGTGATGGGTGGATTCATCTCACAGAGTTAAATGATTCTTTTGATTCAGCAGGTTGGAAACACTCTTTCTAGAGAATCTGCAAAGGAACTTTTGGGAACCCGCTGAGGTCTATTGAGAAAATTTAATATATCCAGATAAAAACTAGAAAGAAGCTATCTCTGAAACTGCTTTGTGATGTCTGGTTTTGTCTCTCAGAATGAAACCTTACCTTTGATTCAGCAGATTGGACGCTCTCCTTTTGGAAAATCTGTGAAGGAACATTTGGTAGCCCATTTGGTAGCCCTATGGGGAAAAGCTGTATATTGTCATTCTTAAACTAGAATGAATCTATCTGTAAAACTGCTTTGTCATGTGTGGATTCATCTCACAGAGTTAAAACTGTCTATTGATTCAGCAATTTTGAAGTACTCTCTTTGGAGAATCTACAAAGGGCATATGGGGGCCAATTGAGGCCTATGAATCAAATTGAATATCCCCAGATCAAAACTAGAAAGAAACTCTTTGAAAAAGCTTTGTGATGTGTGGATTCATCTCACTGTGTTAAACCTTTCTTTTGATTCAGTGGGTTGGAAATCTATTTGGGGAGAATCTGTGAAGGGAAATTTTGTAGTGTATTGAGTCCTGTTTGAAAAAATGGAATATCCCTTGATAAAAACTAGAAAGAAGCTATCTGTGAAACTGTTTTGTGATGTGTGGATTCTTCACACAGAAATAAACCATCCTTTTGACTCATCATGTTGGAAACACTCTTTTTGGAGAATATGCAACTGGACATTTGGGAGCCCATTGAAGCCTAAGGGGGAAAACTGAATATTCCCGGATAAAAACTAGAAAGAAGTTATCTGTGAAACTGCTTTGTGCTGTGTGGATTCATCATCAAGATTTAAAACTTTCTTTTGATTCAGCAGGTTGGAAACACTCCTTTTGGAGAATAGGTGAAGGTATATTTGGAAGCCCATTGAGGCCTAAGAGGAAAAACAGAATATCCCCAGATAAAAAGTACAAAGAATATATCTGTGAAACTGCTTTGTGATGAGTGGATTCATCTCACACAGGTAAACCTTTCTATTGATTCAACAGGTTGGAAACACTGTTTTTGTACAATCTGTGAGGGGACATTTGGGAGCCCATTGAGGCCGGTTGAGAAAAAATGAATATCCCCAGATAAAAACTAGAAAGAAGCTATCTGTGAAACTCCTTTGTAGTGTGTGGATTCATCTCATAGAGGTATATCTTTCTTTTGATAAAGCAGGTTGGAAACATTTTATTTGGAGAAGCTGTGAAGGGACATTTGAAAGCCCATTGATGCCAATGGGGGAAAACTGAATATCCCCAGATAAAAACTATAAAGAAGCTATCTGTGAATCTGCTTTTTGATATTTGGATTAATCTCACAGAGTTAAACCTTTTTTTTTAATTCAGCAGGTTGGAAACATCCTTATTGAAAATCTGTAGAGGGACGTTTCAGAGTCCATTGAGGCCTATGGGGAAAAACTGAATATTCCCAGATAAAGACTAGAAAGAAGCTATCTGTGAAATTGCTTTGTGATGTGTGGTCTCATCACAAAGAGCTAAACCTTTCTTTTGATTCAGCAGGTTGGGAAACACTTTTTTTATAGAATTTGCAATTGGCCATTTTTGAGCTCATTGAGGCCTACGAGGAAAAAGAGAATATCCCCAGATAAAAACTAGAAAGAAGCTATCTGTGAAACTCCTTTCTGATGTGTGAATTCATCTCACAGAGTTAAACTTTCCTTCTGATTCGTTAGGTTGGAAAAGCTTTTTTTTGGAGAATCTGTGAAGGGACATTTCAGAATCCATTGAGGCTGATGAGGAAAAACAGAATATCCACAGATAAAAACTAGAAAGAAGCTGTCTGGAAAACTGCTTTGTGATGTGTGGATTCATGTCAAGTGTGAAAGTTTTTTTTTTTTTTTTTTTTTAATTCAGCAGGTTGGAAACTCTATCTTTGGAGATTCTGCAAATGGACCTTTTAGAGCCCATTGAAGCCTACTGGGAAAAATCGAGTATCCCCAGATAAAAACTAGAGAGAATCTATCTGTGAAACTGCTTTGTGATGTATGGATTCATCTCACAGAGTTAAACCTTTCTTTTGATTCAGCAGGTTGGAAATGCTGTTTTTGGAGAATCTGCTAAGGGACATTTAGGAGCCCATTGAGTCCTATGTGAAAAAAACAAATATCCTCAGATAAATACTAGAAAGAAGATATTTGTGAAACTGCTTTGTGATGTGAGGATTCATCTCACTGAGATAAACCATTCTTTTGATTCAGCTGGTTGGAAACACTCTTTTTGGACTATCTGCAAAGGGATATTTGAGAGCCCATTGAGGCATATGGGGAAAATCTGTATATCCTAATATTAAAAGTAGAAAGAAGCTATCTGTGAAACTGCTTTGTGATGTGTGGATTCATCTTACAGAGTTAAACCTTTCTTTTAATTCAGTAGGTTGGAAGCACTCTTTTTGGAGACATTGTGAAGGAATGTTTGGGAGCCCACTGAGGCCTATGTAGAAAACCCAAATATCCCAAGATAAAAACTAGAAAGCAGCTATCTGTGAAACTGCTTTGTTATGTGTGGATTCATCTCACAGAGTTAATCCTTGCTTTTGATTCAGAAGGTTGGAAACACTCTTTTTGGAGAATCTGTGAAGGGACATTTGGGAGCCCATTGCAGCCTATGGGGAAAAAAGGAATATCCCCATTCATAAACTAGATAGAAGCTATCTGTGAAACTGCTTTGTTATGTGTGGATTCATATCACAGAGTTAAACTGTTCTTTTGATTCAGCAGGTTGGAAACACTCTTTGGAGAATCTGCAAAGGGATATTTTGGAGCCCATTGAGGCATATGAGGAAAACCTAATATCCTCAGATAAAAACAGACAGAAACTATCTCTGAAACTGCTTTGTGAAATCTGGATTCATCTCACAGAGTTAAACCTTTGATTCTACAGGTTGGGAACACTCATTTTAGAGAATCTACAAAGGGACATATTAAAGCCCATTGAGGCCTGTGGGGAAAAGCCAAATATTCTCATTCATAAACTAGAATGAAGCTATCTGTCAAACTACTTTGTCATTTGTGCATTCATCTCACAGAGTTAAAACTTTCTTTTGATTCAGTATGTTGGAAACACTCCTTTGGAGAATCTACAAAGGGCATTTGGGAGCCAGTTTGAAGCCTATGCATCAAACTGAGTATCCTCAGATCTAAAATAGAAAGAAGTTATCTGTGAAACTGCTTTGTGATGTATGGACTCATCCCACAGTGTTAAACCTTTATTTTGATTCAGCTAGTTGGAAAACTCTTTTTGAAGAATCTGTGAAGGGACATTTGGAAGCCTATTGATGCCTATTCAGACAAATGGAATATCCTCTGATGAAAACTAGAAAAAAGCTATCTGTAAAACTGTTTTGTGATGTTTGGATTCATCTCACAGAGGTAAACCTTTCTTTTGATTCATCAGGTTGGAAACAGTCTTTTTGGAGAATCTGCAACTGGGCTTTTGGGAGCCCATTGAAACCTAAGGGGAAAAACTGAATAGTCCCAGATAAAAACTAGGAAGAGGCTATCTGTAAAACTGTTTTGTGATGTGTGGATTCATCTCACAGAATTAAACCTTTCTTTTGATTCATCAGGTTCGAAACACTTCTTTTGTAGAATCTGCAAAGGGACATTTGGGAGCCCATTTTGGTCTATGTATAAAAACCAAATATCCCCAGATAAATACTAGAAAGAAGCTATTTGTGTAACTGCTTTGTTATGTCTGGATTTTACTCACAGACTTTAAACATTTTTTTTTTTATTCAGCAGGATGGAAACAGCCTTTTGGTAGCATCAGTGAAGAGACATTTGGGAGTACATTGAGGCCTACAGTGACAAACTGAATAACCCCAGATAAAAGCTAGAAATAAGCTATCTGTGAAACTGCTTTGTGATGTGTGGATTCATCTCACAAAGTTAAATCTTTCTTTTGATTCAGTAGGTTATAAACACTCCTTTTGTAGGATCTGTAAAGGGCCTTTTCTCAACCCTCTGAGGCCTATTACGAAAACAGAAAATTTCACAATAAAAACTAAAAAAAAAAAAAAAATCTGTCTGTGAAACTGCTTTGTAATGTGTGGATTAATCTCACAAAGTTAAATCTTTCTTTTGATTCAGCAAATTGGAAACACTGTTTTTGTTGCATCTGTGAAAGTACATTTCAAAGCCCACTAGGCATATAGTTAAAAACCAAATATAAAGAGAAAACTCTGGGAATAAGCTATCTTTGAAATTGCTTTGTGATCTCTGCATTCAGCTCACAGTCTTAAACATTTCTTTTCATTCAGTGGGTTGGAAACATTCTTTTTCTAAAATCTGGGAAGGGATATTTTTGAGCCCACTGAAGCCTATAGTGAAAACTGAATATCTTGTAATAAAAACTAGAAAGAAGTTATCTGTGAAACCACTTTGTGATGTGTGGATTCAGCTCACAGAGTTAAACATTTCTTTAGTTTCAGCAGGTTGGAAACTCTCTTTTTGTAGAATCTAAGAACCAACATTGAAAAACCCACTGAGGCCTACAGTGAAATCCAAATATCTTTCAATAAAAACTAGAAAGAAACTATCTGTGAAACTGATTGGTGATATGTGGATTCAGCTCACAGAGTTAAATCTCTCTTTTGATTCATCAGGTTGGAAACACTCCTTTGTAGAATATGTGAAGGGACATTTCAAAATGCACTGAGGCCTGTAGTGTGAAACAGAATATCACACAATAAAAACTAAGAAGAATGTATCAGTGAAACTGCTTTGTGATGGATGAATTCAGCTCAGAGAGTTAAACCATTCTTTTGATTCAGCAGTTTGGAAACCCTTTTGGTAGAATCTGCGAAGGGACATTTCAAAGTGCACTGAGGCCTATAATGAGAAAGAGAATATCCTACTATAAAAATTAGAAAGAAATATCTGTGAAACTGTTTGTGATGAATGAATTCAGCCCACAGGATTAAACCTTTCTTTAGAATCAGCAGGTTGGCGACACACTTTTTGTAGATTCTGTGAGAGGATATTTTGGAGCATACTGAGGCAAATAGTGAAAATGGAATATCCCACAATAAAAACTACAAGGAAGCTATCTGTGAAACTACTTTGTGATTTGTGGATGCAGCTCATAAATTAATACTTTCTTTTGATTCAGTAGGTTGGAAACACTTTTTTTGTAGAATCTGCGAAGTGACATTTTGGAACGTGTGGAGGCCTATAGTGAAAACCTGAATATCCTGTGATAAAAACTAGAGAGAATTTATCTGTGAAACTGCTTTGTGACGTGTAGATTCAGTCCACAGAGTTAAACCTTTTTGTTTGTTTGTTTCAGCAGTTTGGAAACACTCCTTTTGTATGTAGAATCAGCAGAGGGACATTTCAGAGCACAGTAAGTCTTATCATGAAAAACAGAATATCTCGAGATAAAAACTAGAATGAAGCTATCTGTGAAACTGCTTTGTGATGTCTGCATTCAGCTCACAGAATTAAACCTTTCCTTTTATTCTTCAGTTTGGAAAAACTTTTTTTATAGAATCTGCAAAGAGACATTTCAAAGCCCACTTGGCCTATAGTGAAAAACCTAATATCCCACAAAATGTTATGTATGAAACTGCTTTTTAATGTCTACATTCAGCTCACAGAGTTAAACATTTCTTTTGAGTCATCAAGTTGGAAACACCCTTGTTGTATAAACTGTGAAGGTACATTTCAAAGGGCCATAAGGCCTATAGTGAAAAACTGAATAGGCTGTGATAAAATCTTGAAAGATGCTATTTGTGACTGCTTTGTGATGCCTGCATTCAGCCCACAGAGTTAAATCTTTCCTTTTATTCATCAGTTTGGAAACTGTTTTTTGTAGAATCTTTGAAGGGGCATTTTGGAGCCCACCAGACCCTTTGTGAAAATCCTAATATCCCCAGATAAAAACTGGAAATAAGCTATCTGTGAAACTGCTTTTTTATGTGTGGTTTCATCTGAGTTAAATCTTTCTTTTGATTCACCAGGTTGAAATCTCTCTTTTTGTAGAATCTGCAAAGGGACATTTCTGAGTGCAGTAAGCCCTAAGTGAAAAACTGAATATCCCTAGAAAAAAGCTTAAAAAATTATCTGTGAAACTGCTTTGTGATGTCTGCATTCAGCTGACAAAGTTAAACCTTTCTTTTTCTCAACCAGTTTGGAAAAACTCTTTTTGTAGAATCTACGAAGAGGCATATCAGAGTGCAGTGACTCCTATGATAAAAAAAATGAGTATCCTGCAATAAAAACTAGAAACAAGCTGTCTGTGAAACTGCTTTGTGATGTATGGATTCAGCTAACAGAGTTCAACCTTCCTTTTGATTCAGCTGGTTGGAATCACTTTTTAAAAAATATGCGAATGGATATTTCAGAGCACTGTAAGGCCTTTAGTGAAAAACTGAATATCTCACAATAAAAATAAAAAGAAACTATCTGTGAAACTGCTATGTGATGTGTGCATTCAGCTCAAAGAGTTAAACATTTCCTTTGATTCAGCAGTTTGGAAACACTCTTTTTGTAGAATCTTCAAAGGGACATTTCAGGGTGCAGAAAAGCCTATAGTGAAAAACCGAGTATCCTGCAATTAATACTAGAAAGTATCTATCTGCAAAACTGCTTTCTAATGTCTGCATTCAGCTCACCAAGTTAAAGCTTTCTATAAACTCAACAGTTTGGAAACAGCCTTTTTGTAGGATCTGTGAGGGGACATTTCTGAACCTACTAGGCCTATAGTGAAAATCAGAATATCCTGCTATGAAATCTAGAAGGATGCTATCTGGGAAACTGCTTTGTGATGTTTGGATTCAGCTCTCTGATTTACACCATTCTTTGATTCAACAGTTTGGAAACACTCTTTTTGTAGAATCTGTGAAAGGGCATGTCAGAGCGCAAAAAGTCCTACAGTGGAAAGCCAAATATCTGGCAATAAAAACTAGAAAAAATTATCTGTGAAACTGCTTTGTGATGTGTGGATTCAGCTCAAAAAGTTAAACTTTCTTTTGATTCAGCAGTTTGAAGAAACTCTTTGTAGAATCCACGAAGAAGAAACATTTTGGAGGGCATTGAGGCCAAAAGAGAAAAACTGAATATCCTCCAATAAAAACTAGAAACAGACTATCTGTGAAACTGCTTTGTGATGTGTGGATTCAGCTCACAAAGCTAAACTTCCGTTTCGATTCAGCAGGTTGAAAACACTCTTTTTGCAGAAACTGTGATTGGATATTTGAGTGCATAGTAAGGCCTATAGTGAAAAACTGAGTATCCCTAGATAAAAACTAGAAAGAATTTATCTTTGAAACTGCTTTCTGATGTCTCCCTTCAGCTCACAGAGTTATACCTTTCCTTTGATTCAGCAGTTTGGCAACACTCTTTTTGTAGAAACCACAAAAGGACTTTTCAGAGCCCACTAGGCCCATGTTAACAACTGAAAGAAGCTACCTGTGAAACTACTTTGTGATGTGTGGATTCAGCTCACAGAGTTGAACATTTCTTTTGTTTCATCACGTCAGAAACACTCTTTTTGTAGAATCTAAGAACTGACATTGAAAAACCCACTGAGGCCTACAGTGAAATCTGAATATCTTTCAATAAAAACTAAAAAGAAACTATCTGTGAAACTGCTTCATGATGAGTGGATTCATCTCACAGAGTTAAAACTTTCTGTTGATTTGACAGGTTGGAAACATTCTTTTTGGAGAATCAGTGAAGGGAAATTTGGGAGCCCATTAGGGCTTATGGGAAAAAAAATTATCCCCAGATAAAAACTACAAAGAATCTATCTGTGAAACTACCTTGTGATGACTGCATTGAGCTGACAGAGTTAAACCTTTCTTTTCATTCAGCAGTTTGGAAACACTCTTTTTACAAAATCAGCAAAGGGACATTTCAAAGGGCATTGGGACCTATAGTGAAAAACTGAATATCCTACAATGAAAACTTGAAGGAAGCTATCTGTGAAACTGCTTTGTGATGTGTGGATTAAACTCACTTTGTTAAACTGTTCTTTTGATTTAGCAGTTTGGAAAAAATCCTTCTGTAGAATCTGCAAATGGACTTTTCAGAGCCCAGTAAGGACTGTAGTGAAAAACTGAATATCCCTAGATAAAAATAGAAAGAATTTATCTGTGAAACTGCTTTGTGATGTCTGCATTTAGCTCACAGAGTTAAAACTTTCTTTAGATTCAGCTAATTTCAAACACTCCTTTTGTAGAATCTGATAAGAGACATTTTGGAGAACAGTGAGACCTGTAGCAAAAAAAAAAAATCCTGTGATGAAAACTAATAAGAAGCTATCTGTGAAACTCCTTTGTCATGTGTGGATTCAGCTCACAAACGTAAACCTTTCTTTTGATTCAACAGCTTGGAAACACCCTTTCATTTGAATTTCTGAAGGGACGTTTTGGAGCACAGTGAGGCCTATACAGAAAAACCTAATATCCTGCAATAAAAACTAGAAAGAATCTATCTGAGAAACTGCTTCATGATGTCTGAATTCAGCTCAAAGAGTTAAACCTGTCTTTTGACTCAGCAGTTTGAAAACACTGTTTCAGTAGAATCTTCGAAGGGACATTTTTGAGCCCACTAGTCCTCTGGGGAAAAATCGAACATCTGTGAAACTGCTTTGTGATATCTGCATTCAGCTCACAGGGTTAAGCCTTTCTTTAATTCATGAGTTTGCAAACATACTTTTTGTAGAACCTGCAAAAAGACATTTCAGAGGACACTAAAACCTATAGTGAATAACTGAACATCCTGCAATGAAAACTTAAAATAACCTGTCTGTGAAACTGCTTTGTGATGTGTGGATTCAGCTCACAGAGTTAAAAATTTCTTTTGACTCAGCACTTTGGAGACACTTTTTTGAAAAATCTGCAGATGGACATTTCAGAGAGCAGTAAGGCCTATAGTGAAAAACTGAACATCACACAATAAAAACTAGAAAGAAGCTATCTGTGAAACTGTGTTCTGATGTGGGCATCCAGCTCACTCTTTTTGTAGAATCTTCAAAGAGACATTTGACCCCAACGTGGACTATGGTGAAAAAAACGAATATTCCACAATAAAATATGAAAAAATGCTATCAGTGAAACTGCTTTGCTATGTGTGGATTCATCTCACAGAGTTAAACCTTTCTTTTGATTCAGTAGTTTGGAAACAATCTTTTTGTAGGATTTGCTGATGGACACTTTGGAGCAAGGTAAGGCCAATAGTGAAAAACTGAATATCCTGCAAAAAAAAAACTACAAAAAACTTTACTGTGAAACTGCTTTGTGATGTGTGCATTCATCTCAAAGAGATAAACCATTCTTTTGATTCAGCAGTTTGGAAATATTCTTTTTGTAGGATCCACATAGAGACGTTTTAGAGAACAGTAAGGCCTATAGTTAAAAACTGAACATCCCACAATAAAAACTAGAAAAAAGTTATCTGTGAAACTGCTTTGTGATGTGTGGATTCATCTCACAGAGTTAAAACCTTTTTAAGATTCAGTAGTTTTGAAACTCTTTTTGGAGTATCTGTGAAGGGACATTTCTGAGGGCATTGGTGCCTGTAGTGGAAAACCCAATATCCTGTGATAAAAACTTGAAAGAAGCTATCTGTAACATTGCTTTGTGATGTGTGGATTCAACTCACTGAGTTAAACCATCCTTTTGATTCAGCAGTTTGGAAACACTCTTTTTGTATAATCTGTGAAGGGACATTTCTGAGTGAAGTAAGGCCTATAGTGAAAAACAGAATATCCTCACATTAAAACTAGGAAGAATGTATTTTTGAAACTGCTTTGTGATTTCTGCACTAAGCTCACAGCATTAAATCTTTCTTTTGATTCAGCAGTTTTGAGACACTCTTTTTGCAGAATATGTGAAGGGACATTTCACAGCACAGTAAGGCTATAGTGAAAAACCAAATATCATGCGATGAAAACTAAAAGGAAGCTATCTGTGAAACTGCTTTGTTATGTGTGGATTCAGTTCATAGAGTTAAACCTTTCTTTGGATTCAGCAGTTTGGAAACACTCTTTTTGTAGAATCTGCTAAGGAACATTTTGAAGCACAGTAAGGCCTATAGTGAAAAACACAATGTCCCACATTAAAAACTAGAAAGAAGCTATCTGTGAAACTGCCTTGTTTCTTGTAGAATCAACTCACAGACTTAAACCTTTCTTTTGATTCAGCAGTTTGGAAACAATCTTTTTGTAGGATTTGCTGATGGACACTTTGAAACGTAGGAAGACCTATCATGAAAAACTGAATATCCTGTGATAAAAATTAGAAAGAAGTTATCTGTGAAACTACTTTATGATGTCCATATTTGGCTCAAAGGTGTAAAAGTTCCTTTTGATTCACCAGTTTTAAAACCCTCTTTTTGTAGAATCTATGAAGAAGCATTTCGGAGTGCAGTAAGGTCTATAGTGAGAAACAGAATATCCTGTGATAAAAACTGGAAAGAAGTTATCTGTGAAACTGCTTTGTGATGTCTACATTTGGCTCACAGAGTTAAACCTTTCTTTTGATTAAGCAGTTTGAAAACTTTTTTTGTAGAATCTGCAAAGGGACATTCCAGAGCCCACAAGGGCTGTAGTGATAAATCAAATATCCCACAAAAAATCTAAACAGAATCTATCTTTGAAACTGCTCTGTGATGTGGGAATTCAGCTCACAGAGTTAAACTTTTATTTTGGTTCAGCAGTTTGGAAACACTCTTTTTGTAGAGTCTGCGAAGGTACATTTTGAAGCAGAGTAAGGCTGATCATAAAAAACTGAATATCCCCCAATGAAAACGAGAAAGAATTTATCTGTGAAACTGCTCTGTGATGTGTGAATTGAGCTCACAGAGTTAAACCATACTTTTGAGTCCACAGTTTGGAAGCACTTTTTTTGTGGAATCTTTGAAGGGACATTTCAGAGCACATTGAGGCCTATAGTGGAAAACAGAATGTCCTGAGATAAAATCTAGAGGAAAGCTATCTGTGAAAAGGCTTTGTCATGTGTGGATTCAGCTCCAAGAGTTGAACCTTTCCTTTGATTCAGCAGTTCGGAAATACTCTTTTTGTAAAATCTGCAAAGGGACATTTCAGAGTGCAGTGAGTCCTACACTGAAAACGGAATATCCTGCTAAACAACTAGAAAAAAGCTACCTGTGAAACTGCCTTGTGATGTGTGGATTCATCTCACACATTTAAACCTTTCTTTTCTTTCACCAGTTTGGAAACACTCTTTTTGTAGAATCTGCAAAAGGACATTTAGAATTCCATTTTGCTTATAGAGAAAAGCAGAATACCTCACAATAAAATCTAGAAAGAAGGCATCTATGAAACTGCTTTTTGTTGTGTGGATACAGTTCACAGAGTTAAACCCTTCTTTTGATTCAGCAGGTTACATACAGTGTTTTTGCAGAATCTGTGAAGGACCATTTAAAAGAACAAAAAGGCCTATAGTGAAAACTGAATATCCCATGATAAAAACTAAAAGGAAACTATCTGTGAAACTACGTTGTGATGTGTGGCTTCAGCTCACAGGGTTAAACCATTTTTTTTTTTTTAATTCAGTGGTTTGGAAACAGTCTTTTTGCAGAATCTGTGTAGGGATATTTCAGAGCACAGTAAGGCCTATAGTGAAAAACCAAATATCCTGTGATAAAAACTAGAAAGAAGCTATCTGTGAAAATGCTTGTCAAGCCTCCATTCAACTCACAAGGTTAAGCCTTTCTTTTGATTCAGCAGTTTGGAAACTCTCTTTGTGTAGAATCTGTGAAGGGACATTTCAAGACCCCTAGGCCTCTAGTGAAAAAGTGAACATCCCATGATAAAATCTAGAAAGAAGCTATATGAGAAAGTATTTTGCAATTTGTGGATTCAGCTCAAAAAATAAACCATTTTTTGGATGCTGCAGTTTGGAAACACTTTTTTTGTAGAATCTGCAAAGGGACATTTCAGGGTGCTGTCAGGCCTATAGTGAGAAACTGAATATTCCTAGATAAAAACTAGAAAAAGTTTATCATTGAAACTGCTTCCTGAGGTGTGCATTCAACTCACAGATTTAAACATTATTTTGATTCATCAGTTAGGAAACATTCTTTTTGTAGAATCTCTGAAGAGACCTTTTGGAGCACAGTGAACCCCATAATGATAAAGTGAATATCCCATGATAAAAAGTAGAAAGAAGCTATCTTTGAAATGCTTTGTGATGTGTGCTTTCAGCTCAAAAGAATTAAACCGTTCTTTTGACTCAGCAGTTTGGAAACACTCTTTTTGTAGAATATGCGAAGAGACATTTCTGAGTGCAGTAAGGTCTATAGTGAAAAACCAATTATCCCACAATAAAAACTAGAAAGAAGATAGCTGTGAGTCTGCTATGTGATGTGTGCATTCAGTTCACAAAGTTAAACCTTTCTTTTCATTCAGCAGTTTGGAAAAACTCCTTTTGTAGAATCTGTGAATGGACATTTCTGAGGACATTGAGGCCTATAGTGAAAAAGAGAATAGCCTGTGAAAATAATTAGTAAGAAGAAGCTATGTGAAACTGCTTTGTGATGTGTGGATTCATCTCACAGAGTTAAGCCTCTCTCTTGATTCAGTAGTTGGAAACACTCTTCTTGCAGAATATATGAAGGGACATTTCAGAAAAAAATAAAATCTATAGTGAAAAACAAAATATCCCATGATAAAAAACAAAAAGAAGCTATATGCAAAACTGCTTTGTGATGTGTGCATTCAGTTCACAAATTTAGACCTATCTTTGATTCAACAGTTTGGAAATACTGTTTGTAGAATCTGCAAAGTGACATTTCAGAGTGCAGTAAGGACTGTAAAAAAAAATGAATATCCCGTGTAAAAATTAGGAAGAAGCTATCTGTGAAACTGCTTTGTGATGTCTACATTCAGCTCACAGTGTTAAAACTTTCTTTTGATTCAGCAGTTTGGAAACACTCATTTTTTAGGATCTGCAAAGGGACATTTTGGACCCCAGTGGACCTATAGTGAAATACAGAATATCCTGTGATAAAATCCAGAAATAATCTATCTGTTAACCTGCTTTGTGATATGCAGATTCACCTCACAAAGTTAAACTGTTCCTTTGATTTAGCAGCTCATAAACACTCTTTTTGTAGAATCAGAGAAGGGATATTTTGGAGCTCAATAAGACCTATAGTGAAAAACAAAAGATCTCCAGACAAAAATTAGAAAAAGTTATCTGTGAAACTGCTTTCTGGCGTATGCATTCAGCTCACAGAGTTAAACCTTACTTTTGGTTTTGATTTTGTATAATTTGGAAGGTATTGAGGCCTGTAGTAAAAAATTGAATATCTCATGATAAAAACTTAAAAGATGTTACCTGTGGAACTGCTTTATGCTGTCTGGATGCAGCTCACAGAGGTAAACCTTTCTTTTCATTCAGCAGTTTGGAAACTCTTTTTTTAGAACATGCAAAGGGACATTTTGGTGGACATTGAGAACTATAGTAAAAAACCTAGTAGCCTGCAATAAAAACTAGTAAAAACTCTGTGTGAAAATGCTGTGTGATGTGTGGATTCAGCTTACAAAGTTAAGCGTTTCCTTTGGTTCAGCAGGGTGGAAGCACTCTTTTTCTAAAATATGCAAAAGGACATTTCAGAGCACAGTAAGGCCAATAGTAAAAAACAAAAGATCTAGAGATAAAAACAAAAAGAAGCTATCTGCACAACTGTTTTGTGATGTGTGCGTTCAGTTGAAATAGTTAAAGCTTTCTGTTGATTCAGCAGTTTGAAAACATACTTTTTGAAAAATCTGCAAAGGATCATTTCAGAGACAACCAGGCCGATAGTGTAAAATCGACTGTCTCACCATAAAATCTTAAAGAAGCTATCTGTGATATTTCTTTTGTGATGTCTCAACTCAGCTCACAGAATTAAACCTTTCCTTTGATTCACATATTGGAAACACTCCTTTTGTGAAATCTGCTGAAAGATATTTTGGAGTACAGTAAGACATACAGTGAAAAACCGAATATCCCATGACAGAAGCTAAAAATACACTATCTGTGAAGCTGCTTTGTGATATCTGCATTCAACTCACAGAATTAAACCTTTGTTTTGATTCAGCAGTTTGGAAACACTCTTTTGTAAAATCTGTAAAGGGATATTTCAGAGACAACTAGGCCTATAGTAAAAAACCTAATATCTCACAATAAAATCTAGAAAGAAGGTATCTGAAACTGCTTTGTGATGGGTGGATTCAGCTCAAAGAGTTAAACTTTTCTTTTGATTCAGGAGGTTTCAAACACTCTTTTTGGGGAACCTGAGAAGAGACATTTCAGACCACAATAAGGATTTTAGTGAAAAACTGAATATCGCTGATAAAAACCAAACAAAAGTTATCTGTGAAACTGCTTTATGATGTCTGCATTCACCTCACAGAGCCAAATCTTTCTTTTGACTCACCAGTTTTGAAACACACTTTTTCTAGGATCTGCAAAGAGACATTTTGGAGTGCAGTGAGGCCTATAGTGAAAAACAGAATAGCTCGTGATAAAAACTAGAAAGAAGCTGTCTGTGAAACTGCTTTGTAATATCTGCATTTGTCTCACAAAGTTAAACCTTCTTTTGATTCAGCAGTTTGGAAAAATAAATTTTTGTAGGATCTGCAAGGAATAATTTGGAGCCTACTAAGTCTATAGTGAAAATCTAAATATCTTGTGATTAAAACTAGGAAGAAGCTATCTGTGAAACTGCTCTGTGATGTATAGATTCAGTTCACTGAGTTAAAACTTTCTTTTGATTCAGCAGATTGGAAACACTCTATTTGTAGAAACTGTAAAAGGACATTTCAGAGTGCAGTAAGGCCTATAGTAAAAGACCAAATATGCCTAGATAATAACTAGAAATAAGTTATGTAAAACCGCTATGTGGTTTCTGCATTTAGCTCACAAAGGTAAACCTTTCTTTTGATTCAGCAGATTGGAAACACTTTTTTTGTAGAAGAGATGTTTCAGACCACAGTGAAGTTTATAGTGAAAAACCAAATATCTTGCAATGAAAAACTAGAAAGAAGCTATGTGTGAAACTGCTTGGTGATGAGAAGACTCAGCTTGCAGAGTTAAATCTTTCTTTTGATTCAGGAGATTGGAAACACTATTTTTTGTAGAATATGCGAGAAAACATTACAGAGCACAGTGAGCCCTATAGTGAAAAACAGAATATCTTACAATAAAAACTAAAAAGAAGCTATCTGTGAAACTGCTTTGTGATGTGTGGAGTCAGATCACATTATATCTTTATTTTGACTCAGCAGTTTGGAAAAACTCTTTTTGTAGGATCAGCTAAGGGAAATTTCAGAGTGCAGTAATGCCTGTATTGAAAAACCGAATATCTCACCAGAAAAGCTAAAAAGAAGCTATCTGTGAAACTGCTTTGTGATGTGTGGACTCAGCTCACAGAATTAAACCTGTCTTTTGATTCAAAAGGTTGGAAACACTCTTTGTAGAATATGCAAATGGATATTTCAGAGCATATTATGGCCTATAGTGCAAAATAGAATATCCCAAGATAATAATTAAAAAGAAGCTATGTGAGAAACTGCTTTGTAATGTGGGGATTCAGCTCACAGAGTTAAACATCTCTTTTATTTCAGCAGTTTGCAAACACTCTTTTTGTAGAATCTGCTAAAGGACATTTCAGAGCACAGTAAGGCCTATAGTGAAAAACTGAATATACTGTGATAAAAACAAGAAAGAAGCAATCTGTGCAACTGCTTTGTGTTGTCTGCATTTAGGTCACAGTGTTAACCCTTTCTTTTGATTCAGAATTTTGGAAGTACTCTTTTTGTAAAATCTGTGAAGGGGCATTTCTGAGATCACTAAGCCTATAGTGAAAAACCAAATACCTTGCAATACAATATCAAAAGAAACTATCTGAGAAACTACTTTGTGATGTGATGTGTGGATTCAGCTCACAAAGTTAAACTGTTCTTTTCATTCAGCAGTTTGGAAACACTCTTGTAGAATCTGCTACAAGACATTTTGGAGCACAGTAAGGCCTATAGTGAAAAACCGAATATCCCTAGATAAAAAGTAGAAAGAAGTTATCATAGAACTTCTTTCTGATGTGCACATTCAGCTCACTGAGTTAAACCTTACTTTTGATTCAGCAGTTTGGAGACACTCTTTTTGTAGAATCTGTGAAGGGACATTTTGGAGGTCATTGAGGCCTATATTGAAAAACTGAATATCCTGTGATGAAATCTACAAAGAAGTTATCTGTGAAACTGCTTTGTGATGTGTGGATTCAGCTCACAGAGTGAAACCATTTTTTTCATTCAGCAGTTTGGATAAACTCCTTTTGTAGAATCTTCGAAGGGACACATCATAGCAAAGCAATGCCTATAGTGAAAAACCAATTTTCCTCCAATAAAAACTAGAGAAGTTATCTGTGAATCTGCTTTGTGATGTGTGCATTCAGCTCACAGAGATAAACCTTTATTATTATTCAGCATTTTGGAAACACTCTTTTTGTAGAATCTACAAAGGCACATTTCAGAGGACATTGAGGCCTATAGTGAAAAACTGAATAGCCCGTGATAAAAACTAGCAAGAAACTATCTGTGAAACCGCTTTGTGATGTATGGATTCAGCTTCCAGAGTTAAAACTTTCTTTTAATTCAGCAGTTTGGAAACGCTCTATTTGTAGAATCTGCTAAGGGACATTTCAGAGCACATTAAGTCTTATAGTAAAAAACCCAATATCCCGTGATAAAAATTAGGAAGAAGCTATCTGTGAAACTTTTTTGTGATGTCTGCATTCAGATCACAGGGTTAAACCTTTCTTTTGATTCAACTCTTGGAAATACTCTTTTTGTAGAATCTGTGAAGGGACATTTCAGAGGCCACTAGGCCTATAGTGAAAAACTGAATATCCCATGAAGAAAAACAGAAAGAAGCTAACTGAAACTGCTTTGTGATATGTGGATTAAGTTCACAGAATTCATCTTTTCTTTTGATTCAAGCAGTTTGGAAACACTCTTTTTGTAGAATCTGTGAAGGGACATTTCAGAGCTCAGTAAGGCCTATAGTGAAAAACCAATTATCTCATGATAAAAACTGGGAAGATGTTGTCTGTAAAACTGCTTTGTGATGTTGGCATTCAGCTCACAGGTTAAACTTTTCTTTTTATTCAGCAGTTTGTGAATACTCATTACATAGAATCTGTGGAGAGACATTTCGGAGTGCAGTGAGGCCTACAGTGAAAAACTGAATAGCTAGGGATAAACACTAGAAAGAAGCTATCTGTGAAACTGCTTTGGATTGTGTAGATTCAGCCCACAGAGTTAACCTTTCTTTTGATTCAGCAGTTTGGAAACACTCTTTTCATAGAATCTGCAAAGGGACAATTCACAGCCCCCTAGCCCTATAGTGAAAAACCGATATCTCTTGATAATATCTAGAAATAAGCTTTCTGTGAAACTACTTTGTGATGTGTGGTTTCAGCTCACAGAGTTAAACCTTTCTTTTGATTCTGCAGGTAGGAAACCCTCTTTTTTTTAGAATATGCAAAGGGCCATTTCAGAGCACAAGTCCTGTAGTGAAAACCTGAATGTCCCATGAAAAAAACTAAAAAGAAGCTATCTGTGAAATGGCTTTGTGATGTATAAGTTCAGCTCAGAGAGCTAAACTTTTTTTTTTTTTTTGATTCAGCAGTTTGGAAACACTCTGTACAATTTGCTAAGGGACATTTCAGAGTTCAGTAAGGCTTATTGTGAAAAATCAAATATCTCATGATAAAAACTAGAAAGAAGTTATCTGTGAAATTGCTTTGTGAAGTCTGCATTCAGCTCACAGGTAAACCATTCTTTTTATTCAGCAGTTTGGAAACACTCCTTATGTAGAATCTGTGAAGAAACATTTCAAAGCACAGTAAGGCTTATAGTAAAAAACTGAATATCCTGCAATAAAAACTAGAAATAAGCTATCTGTGAAACTGCTTTGTCATGTGTATATTCAGCTCACATAGTTAAGTCTTTCTATTGATTCAGCAGATTGGAAACATTCTTTTTGTAGACTATGCAAAGGGATGTTTCAGAGCACAATAAGGCCTATAGTGATAACAGAATATCCCACAATAAGAACTGTAAAAAAGCTTTCTGTGTAACTTCTTTGTGTTGTGTGTATTTAGCTCACAGAGCTAAACCTTTCTTTTGATTCAGCAGTTTGGAAACACTCTTTTTGTGGATTGGGTAGTGGGACATTTCAGAGCCCACTATGCCCTATAGTGAAAAACTGAATATCTTGAGACAAAACCCAGAAAGATGCTATCTGTGAAACTGCTTTGTTATGTCTGCATTCAGCTTACAGAGTTAAACCTTTCTTTTTATTCCTCAGTTGGGAAACACTCTTTTGGTAGAATCTAAGAGGAGACATTTCAGAGCCCACCATACCTATAGGAAAAAATTGAATACCTTGTAATAAAATCTAGAAAGAAGCTATCTGTGAAACTGAATTGTGAAGTGTGGATTCAGCTCACAGAGTTGAACCGTTTTTTGATTCAGCAGTTTTGAAACACTCTTTTTGTAGAATCAGTGAAGGGACATTTTTGTGCACAGTAAGGCCTATAGTGAAAAACAGAATATTCCATGATAAAAACTAGAAGGAAGAAATCTGGGAAAATGCTTTGTGATGTGTGCATTCAACTCACAGAGTTAAACCTTTCTTTTGATTCAGCAGTTTGGAAGCACTCTTTTTGTAGAATCTGTGAAGGAACATTTGGGAGGGCATTGAGGCCTATAGTGAAACATTGAATATTTCTCGATAAAAACTTGAAAGAAAATCTCTGTGAAACTGCTTTGTGAGGTGTGGATTCAGTTCACAGTGTCAAACCTTTATTTTGATTCAGCAGTTTGGAAACACTGTTTTTGTAGAATCTGCGAGAGACATTTCAAAGCGCAGTAAAGTCTATAGTGAAAAACAGATTATCCCACAATAAAAACTATAAAGAAGTTATCTGTAACTCTGATTTGTGATGTGTGCATGCAGCTCACAGAGTTAAGCCATTCTTTCCATTCAGTGGTTTGGAAATACTGATTTTGTAGAATTTACCAAGGGACATTTCGGAGTACATTGAGGTCTACAGTAAAAACCAGAAAAGCCCGGGATAAAAACTAGTAACAAGCTGTCTGTGAAACTGCTTTGTGATGTGTGGATTCAGCTCACAGAGTAAAGCTTTTCTTTTGATGAGACAGGTTGGAAACACTCTTTTTGTAGAATCTTCTAAGGGACATTACAGAGCACAGTAAGACCCATAGTGAAAAACCGAATATTCCATGATGGAAACTACAAAAAAGCTATCTGTGAAACCGTGTTGTGATGACTGCATTCACCTCACAGAGTTATACCTTTCTTTTGATTCAGCAGTTTGAAAACACTCTTTTTGGTGGATGGAATCTCCAAAGGGACTTTTTGGAGCCCAGTAGGCCTATATTGAAAAACTGAATATCCCATGATAAAATCCAGAAAGACAATGTCTGTGAAACTGCTTTGTTATGTGTGGATTCAGCTCAGAAACTTAAACTGTTGTTTTGATTCAGCTGTTTGGAAACACTGTTTTGTAGAATCCACAAATGGACATTTCAGAGTGCAGTAAGGCCTGTAGTGAAAAACAGTATATCTCTAGATAAAAACTAGAAAGAAGTTATCTGTGAAACTGCGTTGTGATGTGTGCATTCAGCTCATAGAGTTAAACATTACTTTTAATTCAGCAGTTTGAAAAAACACTTTTTGTATAATCTGCATAGGGACATTTTGGAGGGTATGGAGGCCTATAGTGTAAAAAACAAATATCATGTGATAAAAACTTGAAAGAAGTTACCTGTGAAACTGCTTTGTGATATGTGGATTCAGCTCACAGACGTAATCTTTTCTTTTGATTCAGCACTTTGGAAACACTCTTTTTGTAGAATCTGTGAAGAGACATTTCAGAGTGCAGTGAGCTCTACAGTGTGAAGCCAAATAGCCAGAAATAAAAACTAGAAAGAAGCTATCTGTGTAACTACTTTGTGATATGTGGATTCAGCTCCCAGAGTTACACTGTTCTTTAGATTCAGCAGTTTGGAAAAACTTTTTTCACAGAATCTGCAAACAGACATTTTTAAGTTCAATAAGGTCAACAGTGAAAAACGGATTGTCCTGTGATAAAAATTAGAGATAATTTATCTGTGAATCTGCTTTGGGAAGTGTGCATTCGGCTCACACATTTAAATTTTTTTTTCATTCAGCAGTTTGGAAACACTCTTTTTATAGGATCTGCAAAGGGACATTTCAGAGGGCATCATGGCCTATAGGGAAAATGGAATAACCCACGATAAAAAACAGTAAGAAGCTATCTGTGATACTACTTTGTGATGTGTGGACTCAGCTCACAGTGTTTAGCCTTTCTTTTGATTCAGCTATTTGGAAAAACTCTTTTTGTAGAATCTGCAAAGGGATATTTCAGAGCCAACTAGACCTATAGGGAAAAACAAAATATCCCACAATAAAATCTAGGAAGACTCTATCTGTAAAACTGCTTTGGGATGTGTGGATTCAGCTCACAGAGTTAAAACATTCTTTGATTCAGCAGTTTGAAAACACTCTTTTTGAAGAATCTGCGAAGTGACATTTCAGAACATAGTAAGGCCTGTATAAAAAAACTAATATCCCTACATAAAAATCAGAAAGAAATTATCTGTGAAACTGCTTCTGATGTCTGCATTCAGCTCCTAGAGTTAAACCTTTCCTTTTTTCAGATGTTTGGAAACACTCTTTATGTAGAATGTGCAAAGAGACATTTTGAAGCACAGTGAGGCCTATATGAAAAAACAAATATCCTGTGATAAAAACTGTAAAGAAGCTATCTGTAAAACTACTTTGTGATGTGTGCATTCAGCTAACAGAGCTAAGCCTTTCTATTGATTCAGCATGTTGGAAACATTGTTTTTGTAGATTATGCAAAGGGACATTTCAGAGTACAGTAAGGTCTATAGTGAAAAACAGAATATCCTGCAATAAAAACTAAAAAGAATCTATCTGTGAAAATGCTTTGTGAGGTGTGGATTCAGTTCACAGAATTAAAACATTATTTTGATTCAGCAGTTTAGAAACACTCTTTTTCTGTATATGTGAAGGGACATTTCAGAGCCCACTAGGCCTATAGTGAAAAACTGAATATCCCATGATAAAACCTCAAAAGAAGCTATTTGTGAAACTGCTTTTTCATGTGTTGATTAAGCTTGCAGCATTAAACTTTTCTTTTGATTCAGCACTTTGGAAACGCTCTTTATGTAGTATCTGCAAAGGGACGTTTCAGAGCCCACTACACCCTACAGTGAAAAACAGAATATGCCATGATAAAAATAAAAGAACCTATCTTTGATACTACTTTGTGATCACTGCATTCAGCTCTCAGAGTTAACCTTTCTTTCTATTCCACAGATTGGAAAAAATGTTTTTGTAGAATCTGCTAAGGGTCATTTCAAAGCCCACTGGGCCCATAGGGAAAAATTGAATATCTTGCTATAAAATCTAGAAGAAAGTACCTGTGAAACTGCTTTGTGATTTGTGGATTCAACTTACAGAGTTAAAGTTTTCTTTTGATTCAACAGTTGGAAAACACTCTTTTTGTAGAATCAGTGAAGGGACATTTCAGTGAACAGTAAGGGTTCTACCCTGCTATAAGAAGTAATCGGCTAAACTGCTTTGTTGATATGTGCATTCAGCTCACAGAGTTAAACCTTTCTTTTTATTCAGCAGGTTGGAAACATTCTTTTTGTAGAATCTGCAAAGGGACATTTCAGAGTGCTATAAGGCCTATATTGAAAAACAGAATATCCCTAGATAAAAAGTAGAAAGAAGTTATCTGTGAAACTGCTTTGTGATGTCTGTATTCAGCTCACAGAATTAAACCTTTCTTTTGATTCAACTGTTTCAAAACAATCTTTTTGTAGAATCTGCTAAGGGACATTTCAGAACACAGTAAGGGCTATAGTGAAAAACTAAATATCCTGGGATAAAAACTAGAAAGACACTATTGGTGAAACTGCTTCATGATGTCTGCATTTACCTTACAGAGTTAAATCTTTGTTTTGATTCAGCAGTTTGGAAACACTTTTTTTGTAAAATCTACAAAGAGACATTTCGGAGTGCAGTGAGGCCTACAGTGAATAAATGAATATCCCATGATAAAAAATAAAAATAAGCTATCTGTGAAACTTCTTGGTGATGTGTGTTTCAGTTCATAGAGTGAAACCTTTCTTTTCATTCAGCAGTTTGGAAACACTCTTTTTGTGGAATCTGAAAGGATATTTCAAAGTGCATTGAGGTCTACAGTGAAAAACTGAATATTCTGAAATAAAAACTAGAAAGAAGGTGTCTGTGAAACTGCTTTGGGATGTGTACATTCAGCTCACAGAGTTAAAACTTACTTTTAATTCAGCAGTATGGAAACACTCTTTATGTAGAATCTGCATAGGAGACACTTCAGAAGGCATTGAGGCCTGCAGTGAAAAACAGAATATCACACAATAAAAACTAAAAAGAATCTACCTGTGAAACTGCTTTCTAATGTGTGGATTCAGCTCACAGAGTTAAACTTTTCTTTTGATTCAGCATGATTGGAAACATTTATTTTTCTAGAATCTGTGAAGGGACATTTCGAGGCACAGTAAGACCTATACTGAAAAACCGAATATTCCCCCCCACCACACACACACACACACACACACACACAAATACTAGAAAAAACCTATCTTTGAAACTGCTTTGTGACATGTTCATTCAGTTCACACAATTAAACGTTGCTTTTGGTTCACAGTTTGGGAACACTATTTTTGTAGAATCTGCAAAAAGACATTTCAGTGCCCACTGAGGCCTATAGTGAAATACCAAATATCTTGATATAAAAACTAGAAAGAAACTGTAAAACTGCTTTGTGATGTGTGCATTCAGCTCCCAGAGTTAAATCTTAGTTTGATCCAGCTGATTGTTCACTCTTTTTGTAGAATCTGCAAAAGGACACTTCAAAGGGCATTGAGGTCTGTGGTGAAAACCAAACATCCTTTGATAAAAGATAGAAAGAAGCTATCTGTGAAACTGCTTTGTGATGTGTGCATTCAGTTCACAAAGTTAAACCTTACTTTTGATTCAGCAGTTTGAAAACACTTTTTTGTAGAATCTGCAAAGGGACATTTCAGAGGATATTGAGGCCTATATTGAAAAACTGAATATCCCACGATAAAAGCTTGAAAGAAGTTGTCTGTGAAACTGCTTTGTGATGTGTGGATTCAGTTCACAGATCTAAACCTCTCTTTTTAATAAGCAGGTTTGTAACACTCTTTTTGGAGAATCTGTGAAGGAACATTTGGGAGCCCATTGAGATCTATAGTGAAAAACCAAATTTCCCCAGATAAAAACTAGAAAGAAGCTATCTGTGAAACTGCTTTGTGATGTGTGAATTCAAAACTATTTTAGTAGGGCCTGCAAGGGGACATTTTGGGGCTCTATAAAGCCAAAAATGAAAAACAGAATATCCCGCAATAAAAACTAGAAAGAAGCTATCTGTGAAACTGCTTTGTAATGTGTGCAATCAGCTCACAGAGTGAAACCTTCCTTTTGATTCAGCAGGTGGGAATACTCTTTTTGTAGAGTCTGTGAAGGGACATTTTGATGCCCACTGAGGCCTATACAGAAAAGCTGAATTACCCTAGATAAAAACTAGAAAGAAGATGTTTGTGAAACTGCTTTGTGACTTGTTCATTTAGGTCACAGAGTTAAACCTTACTTTCAATTCAGCAGGTTGGAAACTTTTTTTTGTAGAGTCTGTGAAGGGATATTTCAGAGCCAACTAAGGCCTATAGTAAAAAACGGAATATCCTGAAATAAAAACTAGAAATAAGCTATCTTGAAACTGCTTTACAATGAGTGCATTCAACTCACAGAATTAAATCTTTCTTTTGATTCAGTAGTTTGGAAACAATCTTTTTCTAGAAAATGTGAAAGGATATTTTGGAGGGCATTAAGTCCTATAGTGAAAAATCAAATATCCTGAATTCAAAACCAGAAAGAAGCTATCTGTGAAACTGCTTTGTGATGTGTGCAATCAGCTCACAGAGTTAAATCTTACTTTTGATTCACCAGTTTGTAAACACTCTTTTTGTAGTATTGGTGAAGGGATATTTTGGAGTCCACTGAAGTCTTTAGTGAAAAACAGAATATTTTGAAATAAAAAATAGAAAGGATCTCTCCGTGAAAGTGATTTTTGATGTGTGCATTCAACTAACAGAATGAAACCTTATTTTTAATTCAGCAGTTTGGAAACACCCTTCTTGTAGAATCTGCAAAGGGACATTTCAGATGACATTGAGGTATACAGTGAAAAACTGAATATCCCAAAATAAAAACTAGAAGAAAGATATCTGTGAAAATGCTTTGTGATGTGTGCATTTAGTTCACAGAGTGAATATTCTCTTTTGATTCAGCAGGTTGGGCACAATATTTGTAGAATCTGCAAAGGGACATTTCAGATCCCACTGAAGCCTATAATGAAAAACCAAATATTTCTAGATGAAAACTAGAAAGAAGATATCTGTGAAACTGCTTTGTGATGTGTGGATTCGTCTCACAGAGTTAAACCTTTCTTTTGATTCAGCAGTTTGGAAGCACTCTTTTTGTAGAATCTGCAAAGGGACATTTCAAGTGCAGTAAACCCTATAGTGAAATATCAAATATGCCATGATAAAAACTAGAAAAAAGCTTTCTTTGAAACTGATTTGTGGCCAGGCACAGTGGCTTATGCCTGTAATCCCAGCACTTTGGGAGGCTGAGGTGAGCAGATCATGAGGTCAGGAGATCGAGACCATCCTGGCCAACACAGTGAAACCCTGTCTCTACTTAAAAAAAAAAAAAAAAATACAAAAAAAATTAGTCGGGTGTGGTGGTGGGTGCCTGTAGTCCCAGCTACTTGGGAGCCTCAGGTAGGAGAATGACATGAACCTGGGAGACAGAGCTTGCAGTGAGCAAAGATTGTGCCACTGCACTCCAGCCTGGGCAACAGAGCAAGACTCTGTCTCAAAAAAAAAAAAAAAGAAAGAAAAGAAACTGGTTGGTGATGTGTGCAATCAGTTCACAGAGTGAAACATTTCTTTTGATTCAGCAGGTTGGAAACACTCTTCTTTTCTTTTCTTTTTTTTTTTTCTTTTTGCAGTTGCAAGCTTTAATAGAGTGAAGACAGAGCTCCCATACAAAGGGAGGGGACCCAAAGAAAGTAGACATTGCCAGTTTGAATGTCTGGGTTTATAACCTGATCACTGACCCTCCTGCTGTGCTCTCAGACAATAGATGATTGGCTATTTCTTTACCTCCAGTTTTTGCATAATTAGCATTTTAGTGAGCTGTCTTTACTATCTTTTTGGTTCGATGTGAGCTCAGTTGCAAGCCCCATGTTTAAAGGTGGAAGCAGTCACCTTGCCAGCTAGGCTTAGGGATTCTTAGTCAGCCTAGGAAATCCAGGTAGCTCTGTCTCTCAGTTCCACCTCTCAAGAGGAAAACCCAAGTGCTGTTGGGGAGGTTGGCCAACGATCACTCTAAATGCTTCCTGCTGAATTGGAGCATAGTAGGGGTTGTGCAGTTGAGATTTCCTCAGGAGGGGTGGCTTCCATATCATTAACATCAGAGCATGGGCTAGAAGGCCAGTCCAGGAATCTGTGGTAGATTTTAGTCATGGATTGCATCTGGGGCTCCATTTGAAGAATGATTTGTAGCTTTACAGCTCTGATTCTGGAAGAGACAAACTTAACAAGGAGGTTAAAGATACAGGGTCCAAAGAGGAGTAGCAATATTATAGCTACTAGAGGTTCTAAGAAGGGGAGAATCCAAGGCATCCATTGGATGGCAAGGCCCCAGAGTCCAGTGTTTTGAAGCTCCTCGGTTCTATGTTGTAATCAATCTCAAATTTCTTTAACTTTCTCAGTCATGATTCCAGATTGATTTACATAATAACAGCATTCTTGCCCTAATAATAAACAGATTCCCCCACTTTCAGTGGTTAGCAAGTCTAAAGCTCTTTGATTTTGAAGGACTACTGCTGCTAGGGAGTTAAGTTGAACTTGCAAGGTGACCAGGGAGTCAGTAACCCATTCCATGTCACCATTTAGTTCTTGAGATAGTTTGTAGTAGAACTGAGCAGAGGTTGTGATACTGCCAATGCCAGTACCTAGTCTGCCTAGCACTCCTGCTCCAATAACAAAAGGAAGAATGGGTACTCTTTTGTTGCGGGGCTTAGGTACGTGATTGTATAAATCTTGTTCAGTGTAGATGGTCATGGGGACACTAAGAATGAGAGGAAGCACATAGATTCTGAAGAGCCATTCAAACAACGATAGGCTGAGGTACCACAGACAAAAAAAAAAGTATTCCTGAGGGTAGGCAGACTATTCGTGTGGGAGGAATTTCCCACCTGATTCATTGGGAGTTGATTGTCTCTAAAGTATTGCTAAATTTTACACAGGTGAAGTTTGATGTGTGGGTTACTCCCAGATTGGAAACAGGGAGTCCTACTAAAATGGAAGTGGTGTTTATTACTGTGCTGAAGTTGTTCCATTGTTCAGGTACAGGGATTGAAACATATGGCCTGAAGTGCAGGGGGAGGCACATCCAACAGTAGGGTTTTGGGCTGAGACCTCATGGAGCCCAGTGAGGGTGGTATTAAATAGGCTTACCAGGTGAGCATGGGTACAGAGGGTTTTAAGTAATTCCCATTGGTTAGCTGCAGGCAATAGTATTTTTCCTTCTTCAGTGGCTAGCCATCCTGAGGGGAGGAAACTATGTCTAATGAGGTTCCCCATTCTATTTCTTCCTCTGAGTACTGGGGCTTGGTTTCCCAGAGGGGATTACACCATACTAGGGGTCATGTGGCTCTTTTGGTTTCAATATCCACTTGGTGGTTCCCTGCTATTTCCCTTTCCTTTCCTTTCTGATGACCCCAGCAGTATAAGACTGCCACATATTTAGGTTCCTGTACAGCCAATAATAATTTCCTAATGGCTTCCTGATGTTTGATAGGTGTTCCCTCAGAAGTTAGGAATTCCTTTTCTCTCTATATTGCTGCATGGGCATGGAGGACTAGGAAAGCCTACTTAGAATCTGTATATATGCATTTACCCTTTTTCCTTCTAATTCTAGTGCCCAAGTGAGGGCTATTAGTTCTGCCAGCTGAGCACTAGTTCCTGGAGTTAGGGGATTACTTTCAAGTATTCCATTATCACTGACCACCACATACCCTGCTATTCAAAGTCGTTTTTCTACAAAGGAACTTCCATCAGTATACAAGTTGAGGTTGGGATCAGTGAAGGGATCCTCTAAAACCTCCCCTCTAGTGGTGTATGTTTGAGCAATCACTTGTTGACAGTTATGTTCTATCTTTTCTTTATTGTCTGGAAGAAATGTAGCTGGGTTAAGAGTTGCACAAGTGCGCATTCACAGCACTAGCACTTCAAATAATAGAGCCTGATATTTAAGTAAAAAGTTGTCTGACAGCCACAAGTCTCCTTTAGCAGTGAGTATGCTGTTCACATCATGAGATGTCCACACAGTAAGATCCCTTCCTTGTATTATTTTAACTGCTAAAGATACCTAGATTGTTACTGCTGCCACTATCCATAAACAATGAGGACAACCCTTTGCCACTGCATCAATTTCCTTACTCAGGTATGCCATGGGTTCCAAGCTCATCTCTCAGACCTATGTAAGGACTCCTGGAGCTATTCTTGTTTTTTTCTGTGACATATAAAGAAAAGTCTTGCCCTGTTGGGAAGCTTAACACTGGGGCTTAAGTTAGGGCCTTCTTTAGTGCCTGGAAAGCCTCTTCTGCTTCAGATGTCCAGCTTACTAAATGGGTATTGGCTGTCTGAGTTCCTTTAATTAGTGTATATAGTGGTGTGGCTATTTTGCGGTACCTGGGAATCCATATTCAGCAGAAACCTGCTATGCCAAGGAACACTTTTAGTTGCTTTAGGGTTTCGGGATGAGGATAAGCCAGTATAGGCTGGATAAGTTACTCACAGAGGACCCTGGTGCCTTTGGATAATTTTAGCCCTAAGTATTTAACCTGCTGGGAAACACTCTTTTCTTACAATCTGTGAAGTCACATTTCCAAGCCCACTGAGGCCTATATTGAAAAACTGAGTATCTCTAGATAAAAACTAGAAAAAAGCTATCTGTGCAACTTCTTTGGGAATGGTTCACTCAGTTCACAGAGTTAAACCTTACTTTTCAATTAGGTGTCTGGAAACACTCTTTTCATAGAATCTGTGAAGAAACATTTTCATGCCCACTAAGGCCTATAGCAAAATAAAAGAATATCCTGGGGGCGAGGAGCCAAGACGGCTGAATAGGAACAGCTCCAGTCTACAGCTCCTAGGGTGAGCGCAGGAGAAGATGGGTGATTTCTCATTTCCAAGTGAGGTACCGCGTTCATCTCACTGGGGAGTGCTGGACAGTGGGTGCAGGACAGTGGGTGCAGTGCACCATGCATGAGCCAAAACAGGGCAAGGCATCACCTCACCCAGGAAGTGCAAGGGGTCAGGGAATTCTCTTTCCTAGTCAAAGAAAGGGGTGGCCAATGGCACCTGGAAAATCGGGTCACTCCCACCCTAATACTGAGCTTTTCCAATGGGCTTAACAAACGGCACACCAGGAGATTATATCCCACACATGGCTCAGAGGGTCCTACACCCACGGAGTCTCACTCATTGCTAGCACAGCAGTCTGAGATCAAACTGCAGGGTGGCAGAAAAGCTGGGGAAGGGACACCCACCATTGCCAAGGCTTGAGTAGGTAAACAAAGCATCCCAGAAGCTTGAACTGGGTGGAGCCCACCACAGCTCAAGGAGGCCTGCCTGCCTCTGTAAGCTCCACCTCTGGAGGCAGGGCACAGACAAACAAAAGGCAGCAGTAACTTCTGTAGACTTAAATGTCCCTGTCTCACAGCTTTGAAGAGAGTAGTCGTTCTCCCAGCATTCAGCTTGAGATCTGAGAACAGGCAGACTGCCTCCTCAAGTGGGTCCCTGAACCCCGAGTAACCTAACTGGGAGGCACCCCCCAGTAGGGGCGGACTGACACCTCACATGGCCGGGTATTCCTCTGAGACAAAACTTCCAGAGGAAAAATCAGGCAGCAACATTTGTGGTTCACCAATATCCACTGTTCTGCAGTCACTGCTGCTGATACCCAGGAAAGCAGGGTCTGGAATGGACCTCCAGCAAACTCCAACAGACCTGAAGCTAAGGGTCCTGACTGTTAGAAGGAAAACTAACAAACAGAAAGGACATTCACTCCAAAAACCCATCTGTACATCACCATCATTAAAGACCAAAGGTAGATAAAGCCACAAAGATGGGGAAAAAACAGAGCAGAAAAACTGGAAACTCTAAAAATCGGAGCACACCTCCTCCTCCAAAGGAACACAGATCCTCACCAGCAATGGAACAAAGCTGGATGGAGAATGACTTTGACGAGTTGAGAGAAGAAGTCTTCAGACGATCAAACTACTCTGAGGTAAAGGAGGAAGTTCAAACAAGTGGCAAAGAGGTTAAGAACGTTGAAAAAAAATTAGATGAATGGCTAACTAGAGTAACTAACGCGGAGAAGTCCTTAAAGGACCTGATGGAGCTGAAAACCAAGGCTCAGAACTGAGTGATGAATGCAGAAACCTCTGTAGCCAATGTGATCAACTGGAAGAAAGGGTATCAGTGATGGAAGATGAAATGAATGAAATGAAGTGAGAAGTTTAGAGAAAAAAGAATAAAATGAAACAAACAAAGCCTCCAAGAAATATGGGACTATGTGAAAAGACCAAATCTACGTCTGATTGGTGTACATGAAAGTGACAAGGAGAATGGAACCAAATTGGAAAACACTCTGCAGGATATTATCCAGAAGAACGTCCCCAATCTAGCAAGGCAAACCAACATTCAAATTCAGGAAATACAGAGAATGCCACAAAGATACCCTCGAGAAGAGCAACTCCAAGACACATAATTGTCAGATACACCAAAGTTGAAATGAAGGGAAAAATGTTAAGGGCAGCCAGAGAGAAAGGTCGGATTACCCACAAAGGGAAGCCCATCAGACTAACAGCTGATCTCTAGGCAGAAACTCTACAGGCCAGAAGAGAGTGGGGACCAATATTCAACATTCTTAAAGAAAAGAATTTTCAACCCAGCATTTCATATCCAGCCAAACTAAGCTTCATAAGTGAAGGAGAAATAAAATCCTTTACAGACAAGCAAATGCTGACCGATTTTGTCACCACCAGGACTGCCCAAAAAGAGCTCCTGAAGGAAACACTTAACATGGAAAGAAACAACCGGTATCAGCGACTGCAAAACATGCCAAATTGTAAAGACCATCAAGGCTAGGAAGAAACTGCACCAACTAACGAGCAAAATAACCAGCTATCATCATAATGACAGGATCAAATTCACACATAACAATATTAAACTTAAATGTAAATGGACTAAATGCTCCAATTAAAAGACACAGACTGGAAAATCGGATAAAGAGTCAGGACCCATCAGTGTGTTGTATTCAGGAAATCCATCTCACATGCAGAGACACACATAGGCTCAAAATAAAAGGATGGAGGAAGATCTACCAAGCAAATGGAAAACAAAAAAAAGGCAGGGGTTGCAATCCTAGTCTCTGATAAAACAGACTTTAAACCAACAAAGATCAAAAGAGACAAAGAAGGCCATTACATAATGGTAAAGGGATCAATTCAACAAGAAGAGCTAACTATCCTAAATATATATGCACCCAATACAGGAGCACCCAGATTCATAAAGCAAGTCCTTAGAGACCTACAAAGAGACTTAGACTCCCACACAAAAATAATGGGAGAGTTTAACACCCAACTGTCAACATTAGACAGATCAATGAGACAGAAAGTTAACAATGATATCCAGGAATTGAACTCAGCTCTGCACCAAGCAGAACGAATAGACATCTACAGAACTCTCCACCACAAATCAATAGAATATACATTCTTTTCTGCACCACACCACACCTATTCCAAAATTGACCATATAATTGGAAGTAAAGCTCTCCTCAGCAAATGTAAAAGAACAGAAATTATAACAAACTGTCTCTCAGACCACAGTGCAATCAAACTAGAACTCAGGATTAAGAAACTCACTCAAAACAACTCAACTTCATGGAAACTGAATAACCTGCTCCTGAATGACTACTAGGTACATAATGACATGAAGGCAGAAATAAAGATGTTCTTTGAAACCAACAAGAACAAACACACAACATGCCAGAATCTCTGGGACACGTTGAAAGCAGTGTGTGGAGGGAAATTTATAGCACTAAATGCCCACAAGAGAAAGCAGGAAAGATCTAAAATTGACACCCTAACATCACAATTAAAAGAACTAGAGAAGCAAGAGAAAACACATTCAAAAGCTAGCAGAAGGCAAGAAATAACGAAGATCAGAGCAGAACTGAAGAAATAGAGACACAAAAACCCTTCAAAAAAATCAGTGAATCCAGGAGCCAGTTTTTTGAAAAGATCAACAAAATTGATAGACTGTTAGCAAAACTAATAAAGAAGAAAAGAGAGAAGAATCAAATAGATGCAATAAAAAATGATAAAGGGGATATCACAACAATCCCACAGAAATACAAAATACCATCAGAGAATACTACAAACAACCCTATGAAAATAAACTAGAAAATCTAGAAGAAATTGATAAATTCCTCGACACATACATCCACCCAGGACTAAACCAGGAAGAAGTTGAATCTCTGAATAGACCAATAACAAGCTCTGAAACTGAGGCAATAATCAACAGCTTACCAACCAAAAAAAAGTCCAGGACCAGATGGATTCACAGCTGAATTCTAACGGAAGTGCATGGAGGAGCTGGTACGATTCCTTCAGAAACTATTCCAATCAATAGAAAAAGAGGGAATCCTCCCTAACTCATCTTATGAGGTCAGCATCATCCTGATACCAAAGCCTGGCAGAGACACAACCAAAAAAAAGAATTTTAGACCAATATCCTTGATGAACACTGATGCAAAAATCCTCAATAAAATACAGGCAAACCGAATCCAGCAGCACATCAAAAAGCTTATCCACTGTGATCAAGTGGGCTTCATCTCTGGGATGCAAGGCTGGTTCAACACTTGAAAATCAATAAAAGTAATCCAGCATATAAACAGAACCAAAGACAAAAACCACATGATTATCTCAATAGATGCAGAAAAGACCTCTGACAAAATTCAACAACCCTTCATGCTAAAAACTCTCAATAAATTAGGTATTGATGGGACATATCTCAAAATAATAAGAGCTATCTATGACAAAACCACAGCCAATATCATACTGAATGGACAAAAACTGGAAGCATTCTCTTTGAAAACTGGCACAAGACAAGGATGTCCTCTCTCACCACTCCTATTCAACATAGTGTTGGAAGTTCTGGCCAGGGCAATCAGGCAAGAGAAGGAAATAGAGGGTATTCAATTAGAAAAAGAGGAAGTCAAATTGTCCCTGTTTGCAGATGACATGATTGTATATCTAGGAAACCCTATCGTCTCATCCCAAAATCTCCTTAAGCTGATAAGCAACTTCAGCAAAGTCTCAGGATACAAAATCAATGTGCAAAAATCACAAGCATTCTTATACACCAACAACAGAAAAACAGAGAGCCAAATCACAAGAGAGCTCCCATTCACAATTGCTTCAAAGAGAATAAAATACCTAGGAATCCAACTTACAAGGGATGTGAAGGAGCTCTTCAAGGAGAACTACAAACCACTGCTCAATGAAATAAAAGAGGATACAAACAAAAGGAAGAACATTCCATGCTCATGGGTAGGAAGAATAAATATCGTGAAAATGGCCATACTGTCCAAGGTAATTTACAGATTCAATGCCATCCCCATCAAGATACAAGTGACTTTCCTCACAGAATTGGAAAAGCTACTTTAAAGTTCATATGTAACCAAAAAAGAGCCTGCATCGCCAAGTCAATCCTAAACCAAAAGAACAAAGCTGGAGGCATCACACTACCTGACTTCAAACTATACTACAAGGCTACAGTCACCAAAACAGCATGATGCTGGTACCAAAACAGAGATATAGACTAATGGAACACAACAGAGCCCTCAGAAATAATGCCACATATCTACAACTATCTGATCTTTGACTAAACCTGACAAAAATAAGCAATGGGGAAAGGATTCCCTATTTAATAAATGGTACTGGGAAAACTGGCTAGCCATATGTAGAAAGCTGAAACTGGATCCCTTCCTTACACTTTCTACAAAAATTAATTCAAGATGGATTAAAGACTTAAATGTTAGACCTGAAACAATAAAAACCCTATAAGAAAAATTAGGCAATACCATTCAGGACATAGGCATGGGCAAGGACTTCATGTCTAAAACACCAAAAGCAATGGCAACAAAAGCCAAAATTGACAAATGGGATCTAATTAAACTAAAGAGCTTCTGCATAGCAAAAGAAACTACCATCAGAGTGAACAGGCAACCTACAGAATGGGAGAAAATTTTTGCAACCTACTCATCTGACTAAGGGCTAATATCCAGAATCTACAATGAACTCAAACAAATTTACAAGAAAAAAAAAACAATCCCATCAACAAGACAGTTAAGGATATGAACAGACACTTCTCAAAAGAAGACATTTATGCAGCCAAAAAAACACATGAAGAAATGCTCATTATCACTGGCCATCAGAGAAATGCAAATCAAAACCACAATGAGATACCATCTCACACCAGTTAGAATGGCGATCATTAAAAAGTCAGGAAACAACAGGTGCTGGAGAGGATGTGGAGAAATAGGAACACTTTGACACTGTTGGTGGGACTGTAAACTGGTTCAACCATTGTGGACGTCAGTGTGGTGATTTCTCAGGGATCTAGAACTAGAAATATCATTTGACCTAGCCATCCCATTACTGGATATATACCCAAAGGATTATAAATCATGCTGCTATAAAGACACATGTACACGTATGTTTATTGAGGTACTATTCACAATATCAAAGACTAGGAACCAACCCAAATATCCAACAATGATAGACTGGATTAAGAAAATGTGGCACATATACGCCATGGAATACTATGCAGCCATAAAAAATGATGAGTTCATGTCCTTTGTAAGGACATGGATGAAGCTGGAAGCCATCATTCTCAGCAAACTATCACAAGGACAAATAACCAAACACCGCATGTTCTCACTCATAGGTGGGAGTTGAACAATGAGAACACTTGGACACAGGAAGGGGAACATCACACACTGGGGACTGTGGTGGGGGGGAGTGGGGAGGGATAGCATTAGGAGATATACCTAATGCTAAATGTTGAGTGAATGGGTGCAGCACACCAACATGGCAAATGTATACATATGTAACAATCCTTCACGTTGTGCACATGTACCCTAAAACTTAAAGTATAATAATAAAATTAAAAATAGAATATCCTGAAATAAAACCTAGAAAGAAGTTATCTGTGAATCTTATTTGCGATGTGTGCAATCAGCTCACAGAGTTAAACCTCATTTATTATTCAGCAGTTTGGAAACACTCTTTTTGCAGAATCTGTGAAGTGACATTTTGGAAGGCATCAAGGCCTAGAGTGAAAAACAGATTATCCCCATATAAACACTAGAAAGAAGCTATATGTGAAACTGCTTTGTGATGTGTGCATTCTGCTCACAGAGTGACATATTTATTTTGATTTGGCAGGAAGGAAACACTCATTTTGTAGAAGCTGCAAAGGGAGATTTAGGAGCCCACTAAAGCCTATAGTGAAAAATTAAATATCCTGAAATAAAAACTAGAAAGAAGCTATCTGTGAAACTGTTTTATGATGTGTCCATTCAGCTCACAGAGTTGAACCTTACTTTTGATTCAGCTGTTTGGAAACACTATTTTTATAGAATCTGTGAAGGGAAATTTCAAAGTCCACTGGGGCCAGTAGTGAAAAATTGAATATCCCTGGAAAAAAAAATTGTAAGAAGCTATCTGTGAAACTGCTTTGTGATGTGTACATTCAGATCACAGAGTGAAACCTCTCTGTTGATTCAGAAGTTTGAATACACTCTTTTTGTAGAATCTGCAAGGGGATATTTCAGGGAACATTGAGGCCTAGTGTGAAAAACCAAATATATCCTGAAATAAAAACTAGAAAGAAGCTATCTTTGAAACTGTTTTGTGATGTGTGCATTCAGCTCATGGAGTGAAACCTTCCTTTGATTCAACAAGTTGGAAACACTCTTTTTGTTGAATCTACAAAGGGACATTTTGAAGCCCACTGAGGCCTATAGTGAAAAGCCAAATATCTCTAGACAAAAACTGGAAAGAAGCCAGCTGTGAAACTTCTCTGTGGTGTGTGAATTCAGCCCACAGAGTTAAACCTCACTTTTTATTCAGCTTTTTGGAACCATCTTTTTGTAGAATCTGCAAAGGGACATTTCAGAATGCACTGAGGCCTATAGTGAAAAACCAAATAACTTGTGATAAAAACTAGAAAGAAACCATCTGTGAAAGTGCTTTGTGATGTGTGTATTCAGCTCATGGAGCTAAACTTTTCTCTTGATTCAGCATGCTGGAAACACTATTTTTGTAGAATCTGCAAAGGGAGGTTTTGGAGCCCTCTGAGGCCTATAGCAAAGACCAAATATCCAGAAATAAAAACTAGAATGAAGCTATCTATGAAGCTGCTTTATGATGTGCACATCAGCTCACAAAGTCAAAACTGTCTTTAGATTCGTCAGCAGGTTGGAAACTCTCTTTTTGTAGAATCTGTGAAGGGACATTTTGGAATGCACTGAGGCCTACAGTGAAAATCCAAATAACTCTAGGTAAAAACTAGAGTGAAGCTATCTGTAAATACTGCTTTGTGACATGCTCATTCAGTTTACAGAGCTAAACATTACTTTTGATTCAACAGGTTGGAATCACTCTTTTTGTACAATCTGCAAAGGGACACTTCAAAGCCCACTGAGGTCTGTAGTAAAAAAACAGAATATCCCTTGATAAAAACTGGAAAGATGCTATCTGTGATACTGCTTTGTGATGTGTGCATTCAGCTCACAGAGTTAAACCTTACTTTTGATTCAGCAGTTTGGAAACACTCTTTTTGTAGAGTCTGGGAATGGACATTTTGGAGCGCATTGAGGCCTATAGTGAAAAACAAAATATCCCATGATAAAAACTGGAAAGGTATCTGTGACACTGCTTTGTGATGAGTGGATTCAGCTCACAGAGTTAAATCTTTCTTTTGATTCAGCAGTTTGGAAACACTCTTTTTGTAGGATCTATGAAGAAACATTTCAAGGCACAGTAAGGCCATTATTGAAAAAAGAAAAATCCCTAAATAAAAACTGGAAATAAGCTATCTGTGAAACTGCATTGTGAAGTGTGCATTGAGCTCAAAAGTGAAATTTTTCTTTTGATTCAGCAGGTTGGAAACACTCTTTTTGTAGAATTTGCAAAGGGACACTTTGGAGCTCACTGAGGCCTCTAGTGAAAAATCGAATATACCTCAATACAAACTGAAAAGAAGCTCTCTGTGAATCTGCTTTGTGATGTATAGATTCAGCTCTCAGAGTTAAACTTTTTCTTTGATTTAGCGGTTTGGAAACACTCTTCTTTTATAGTCTGCAAAGGGACATTTTAGAAGGCATTGAGGACTATGGTGAAAAACGGAATATCCTGCAATAAAAACTAGAAAGAAGCTATCTGTGACACTGCTTTGGATGAGTGGATTCAGCTCACAGTGTTAAACCTTTCTTTTGATTCAGGAGTTTGGAAACACTCTTTTTGTAGAATCTGCAAAGGGACAATTGGGGGTTCACTTAGACCTTCAGTGATAAACAGAATATCACAAAATGAAAACTAGAAAGAATATATCTGTGAAACTGCTTTGTGCTTTGTGTATTGAGCTCACAGAGTTAAACCTTACTTTTTATTCAGCAGTTTGGCAACACTCTTTTTGTGGAATCTGTTAAGAAACATTTTAAAGGGCTTTGAGGCTTACAGTGAAAAACTGAATATCCTGCAATGAAAACTAGATAGAGGCTATCTGTGAAATTACTTTTGATATGTGGATTCAGCTCACAGAGTGAAACTACTCTTTTGAATCAGCAGTTGGAAACACTATTTTTGTAGAATCTGTGAAGGGATATTTTTGTCCCCAGTGAGGCCTATAGTGAAAAACCAAATATCCCAAAATAAAAACTAGCAAGAAACACTCCATGAAACTTCTCTGTGAAGTTTGCATTTAGCTCACAGAGTTGAAATTTACTTTTGATTCAGCAGTTTGGAAACACTTTTTTGTAGAATCTGTGAAAGGACATTTGGGAGGGCATTGAGGCATATACTGAAAAACAAAATGTCCTGTGATAAAAACTAGAAAGAAGCTGTCTGTGAAACAGCTTTGTGATGTGTGAATTGAGCTCACAAAGTGAAACCTGGCTTTTGATTCAGGAGTTTGAAAACACTCTTTTTGTAGAGTCTGCAAAGGGATATTACAAGGCACAGTAAGGTCTATAGTGATAAATTTAATATCCCTCAATAAAAACGAGAAAGAAGCTATCTGTGAAACTGCTTTGTGATATGTGGATTAAACTCACATAGTGAAACGTTTCTTTTAATTCAGCAGTTTGGAAACCCTCTTTTTGTAGAGTCTGTGAAGGAACATTTCAGAGGGCATTAAGGCCTATAGTGAAAAACTGAATATCCCCTGATAAAAGCTAGAAAGAAGCTTTCTGTGAAACTGCTTTGTGATGTGTGAATTCAGCTCACAGAATTAAATTTTACTTTTGATTCAGCAGTTTGGAAACACTCTTTTTTCAGAATCTGCAAAGTGACGTTTTGAGGCTCAGTAAGGCTTATAGTGAAAAACTGAATGTACCATGATAAAACCTAGAAGAAGCTATCTTTGAAACTGCTTTGTGATATGTGCATTCAGTTCACAGAGTCAAACTTTTTTTTTTTTTTTTTTGATACAGTAGGTTGGAAACACTCTTTTTGTAGAATTTGCAAAGGAACGTTTTGGAGCCCATTGAGACCTATAGTGAAACCCTGAATATCTCTAGGAAAAACCTAGAAAGAAGATATCTGTGAAACTGCTTTGTGACATGTGCATTCAGTTCACAGAATTAAACCTTACTTTTTAATCAGATGTTTTTAAACACTCTCTTTATAGAATCTGCAAAGGGACATTTCGGAACCCCCTGAGGCCTGTAGTGAAAAATGGAGTATCCCAAAATAAAAACTAGAAAGAAGCTACCTGTGAAACTGCTTTGTGATGTGTGCATCCAGCTCAAAGTTAAATTTTACCTTTGATTCAGCAGTTTGGAAACACTCTTTTTTTAAAATCTGTGAAGGGATATTTCAGAGGGCATTGGAGGCCTATAGTGAAAAAATGAATATTCCACTATAAAAACTAGAAAAAATTTGCTGGACATGGTGACTCTTGCCTGTAATCCTAGCATTCTGGGATGCCTGTGTGGGTAGATCATGAGGTCAGGAGTTCAAGACTAGCCTGCCCAAGATGGCAAAACAACATCACTACTATAAAAACAAAAATTAGCCAGGCACAGTGACAGGAGAATATAATCTCAGCTACTTACTTTATAGGTTGAGGTTGGAGAATCGCTTGAACTAGGGTGGCAGAGGGTGAGTGTACCTAGATCAAGACTTTGCACCCCAGCCTGGGTGACAGAGTGAAACTCCATCAAAAAAAAAAAAAAAAAACTAGAAAGAATCTATTTGTGAAACCGCTTTGTGATATGTGTATTTAGCTCACAGAGTGAAACCTTTCTTTTGATTTAGCAGATTGGAAACACTCTTCTTGTAGAATCTACGAAGTGACATTCTGGGGCACAGTAAGTCCTACAGTGAAAAACAGAATATCCTAAAATAAAAATTAGTAAGAAGCTATTTGTGAAACTGCTTTGTGATATGTACATTCAGCTTGCAGAGTTAAACCTTACCTTTGATTCAGCTGTTTGGAAATACTCTTTTTTTTTTTTTTTGAGATGGAGTCTCACTCTGTCACCAAGGCTGGAGTGCTGTGGTGGGATCTCGATTCACTGCAAGCTCCACCTCCCTGGTTCACATCATTCTCCCACCTCAGCCTACAGAGTAGCTGGGACTACAGGCACCTGCCACCACACCTGGCTAATTTTTTGTATTTTTAGTAGAGATGGGCTTTCACCATGTTAGCCAGGATGGTCTTGATCTCCTGACCTAGTGATCTGCCCACCTTAGCCTCCCAAAGGGATGGGATTACAGGCATGAGCCACTGCACCCAGACAGAAGCTCTTTTTGTAGAATCTGTGAAACAACATTTAGGAGCCCACTGAGGCAAATAGTGAAAAACCAAATATCCTGAAATAAAAACTAGAAAGAAGCTGTTAAACTGCTTTGTGATGTGTGCATTCAGCTCACAGAGTTAAACCTTTCTTTTGATTCAGCAGATTGGAAACACTCTTTTTCTAGAATCTACAAGGGGACATTTCAGGGCACAGTGAGGCCTACAGTGAAAAACAGAATGTTGCAAAATAAAAACTAGCTAGAAGCTATTTGTGAAAATGCTCTGTAATGTGTACATTCAGGTCAAAGATTTATAACTTACTTTTGATTCAGCAGTTTGGAAACACTCTTTTTGTAGAATCTGCAAAGTGACATTTCAGACTCCACTGAGGCCTATAGTGAAAAACTGAATATCCCAAAATAAAATCTAGAAAGAACCTATCTGTGAAACTGCTTTGTGACATATGCATTTAGTTCACAGTTTTCAATGTAACATTTGATTCAACCGTTTGAAAATACCCCTCTTGTAGTATCTGCAAAGAAACATTTTAGTGCTGACTGAGGCTTAAAGTGAAAAAATGAATATCCAAAAATAAAAATGAGAATCTATCTGTGAAACTGCTTCCTGATGTGTGGCTTCAGCTTTCAGGGTTAAACCTTTCTTTTCATTAAGCAGTTTGGAAACATGCTTTTTGTAGAATCAGCCAAGGGACATTTCAGAGTCCAGTGAGACCTGTAGTGAAAAACTTAATACCCTGTGATAAAAACTAGAAAGAAGCTATCTGTGAAACTGTTTTCTGATATGTACATTCAGCTCACAGAGTTAAACCTTACTTTTGATTCAGCAGATTGGCAAGTCTCTTTTTGTAGAATATGCGAATGGAAATTTTGGAGGGCATTTAGGCTTATAGGAAAAAAATGAATATCCCATGATAAAAACTAGAAAGAAGCTATCCGTGAAACTGCTTTGTGATGTTAGATTCAGCTCACAGAGTGAAACCATTCTTTTGATTCAGCAGTTTGGAAATATCCCATGATAAAAACTAGAAAGAAGCTATCTGTGAAACTGCGTTGTGATGTCTGCATTCAGCTCACAGAGTCAATCCTTTCTTTTGATTCAGCAGTTTAAAAACACTCTTTTTGCAGACTCTCCAAAGGGACAATTTAGAGCCCACTGAGGCCTATAGTGAAAAACTAAATATCCCAAAAGAAAAACAAGAAAGAAGCTATTTGTGATCCTGTTTTGTGAGGCATGCATGCAGTTCACAGAATTAAACCTTACTTTGGATTCTGCAGTTTGGAAACACTCTTTTTGTAGATTGTGCATCAAAACATTTCAAAGGGCATTGAGGCCTATAGTGAAAAACCAAATATCCTGAAATAGAAACTAGAAAAAAGCTATCTGTGAAACTGTTTTGTAATGTGTGGTTTCAGCTCAGAGAGTTAAACCTTTCTTTTGAATCAGGAGCTTGTAAACACTCTTTTTGTAGAATCTGCAAAGAGATATTTCAAGGCACATTAGGGCCTATAGTGAAAAACCAAATATCCGGCAATACAAACAAGAAAGAAGTTATCTGTGAAACTGCTTTGCAATGCGTAAGTTCATCTCCAAGAGCAAAACTTTGCTTTTGATTCGGCAGCTCAGTAACATTCTTTTTGTATAGTCTACAAGGAGCCATTTTGCAGCCCATTGAGGCCTATATTTAAAAAAAAGAATATGCTGCAATGAAAACTAGAAAATTGATATCTGTTAAACCACTTTGCAACATGTGGATTCCAGAAGTTAAACTTTTCTTTTGATTTAACATGTTGAAAACATTCTTTTTCTAGAATCTTCAAAGGAACATTTTGGAGCCCACTGATGCCTATATTGAAATACCGAATATTCCACCATAAAAACTAGAAAGAAGCTATCTGTGAAACTGCTTTGTGATGTGTGAACTCACCTTAAAAAGCTAAACCTTTCCTTTGATTCAGCATGTCAGAAACCCTCTTTTTGAAGCATCTACAAAGGGACAGTTGAGATCCCATTGAGGCCTATAGTGAAAAATGGAATATCCTGCAAAAAAAACTAGAAAGAGTCTAACTGTAAAGCCGCTTTGGGATGTGCGGATTCATTTCACCAAGATAAACATTTCTTTTGTTTCAGCAGGTTGAAAGCACTCTATGTATAGAATTTACAAATGGACATTTCAGAACTTTATGTGGCCTATAGTGAAATTCCAAATATACCATGATAAAAACTATAAAGAAGCTATTTGTGAAACCACTTTGTGTGTGTGGATTTAGCTTACAGAGTTGAACCTTTCTTTTGATTCAGCTGGGTGGAAACACTCTTTTTGTAGGATCTGTGAAAGAATGTATTGGAGCCCACTGAGGCCTATAGTGAAAAACGGAATATCCTGTGATAAAAACTAGAAAAAAGCTATCTGTGAAACAGCTTTGTGGTGTGTGGATTCAGCTCACAGAGTTAAATCTTTCTTTTGATTCAGCTGGTTGGAAACCCTCATTTTGTAGACTATGTGAAGGGATATTACAAGGCCCAGTGAGGCCTGTAGTGAAAAACCAAATATTCCATGACAAAAACTAGCAACAAACTTTCTGTTGAATGCTTTTATGATGTGTGCAATTATTGCACAGAGTTAAAACTTACTTTTGATTCAACAGGTTGGAAACTCTCTCTTTTTAGAATCCACAATGTTATATTTTGGAGCCCATTGAGGTGTATAGCGAAAAACTGAATATCCCATGATAAAATCTAGAAACAAGATATCTGTAAAACTGCTTTGCTATGTGTGGATTCACCTTACAGAGTTAAAAAGTTCTTTTGATTCTGCAAACACTCTTCTTGTGGAATGTACAAAGGACATTTCTGAGCCCATCAAGAACTATAGTGAAAAGCAGATTATCACATAATAAAAACTAGAAACAAGCTATCTAGGAAACTGCTTGGCATTGTGTGAGTTCATCTAACGGAGTTAAAATTTTCTTTGACTCAGCCGGTTGGAAACTTTTTTTAGACTCTACTAAAGGATGGCCAGGCACAGTGGCTCACACCTGTAATTCCAGCACTATGGGATGCTAAAGTGGGTGGATCATGAGGTCAGGAGATGGGGACCATCCTGGCTAACACAGTAAACGCTGTCTCTACTAAAAATACAAAAAAAAAAAAAAAAAAAAAAAGGCAGGGCTTGGTGGTGGGTGCCTGTAGTCCCAGGTACTCAGGAGGCTGAGGCAGGAGAATGACGTGAATGCAGGAGGTGGAGCATGCAGTGAGCCTAGATCATGCCACTGTACTCCAACCTGAGTGACAGATTGAGACTCCATCTCAAAAAAAAAATCTACTAAGGGACATTTTGGAGCCCATTGAATCCTACAGTGAAAAATTGAATATTCTGCAATAAATCTGTGAAACAGCTTGGTGATATGTGGATTCATCTCACAGAGTTAAGCTTTCTTTTGATTCAGCCAGTTCAAAACACTTTTTTTGTAGAATCTGCAAAGTGACATTTCAGAGCCAATTGAGGCCAATAATGAAAAACTGAATATCCTACTATGCAAACTAGAACAAGCTAGCTATGAAACGATTATGTCATATTTGGATTCATTTCACAGACCTACACTTCTCTTTTGATTCAGCAGGTTGGAACCACTCTTTAAGTAGAATCTCTATAGGGACATATCAAAGCCCATTGAGGCCTATTTTGAAAAACTGAATATCCCACAATAAAAACTAGAAACAAGGGCAGGCACTGTTGCTCACACTTGTAATCCCAGCACTTTATGAGTCTAAGGTGGGCAGATAACCTGTGGTGAGGAGTTTAAGACCAGCTTGACCAACATGGAGAAACCCTGTCTCTAATAAAAATACAAATTGCTCTGGGCATTATGGTGCATGTTTCAAATCCCAGCTATTCAGGAGGCTGAGGCAGGAGAATTGCTTAAACCCAGGAGGTGGAGGTTTTGGTGAACAGAGACCCCACCATTGCACTTTAACCTGGTCAACAAGACCAAAACTGCTTCTCAAAAAAAAAATCTAGAAACAAACAAGCTCTCTGTGAAACGTTTATGCGATGTGTGGATTCATCTCACAGAGATAGGCCTTTCTTTTGATGCAGTAGGTTGTAAACCTCTTTTAGTAGAGCCTTAGAAGGAACATTTCAGAGCCCATGAAGTCTATTGGAAAAAAAACGAATATCTCATGATAAAAATGAGAAATAATCTACCTGTGAAACGGCATTATGATGTGTGGATTGATCTCACAGAGATAAACCTTTCTTCTGACTTAGCATTTTGGAAACACTCTATTTGTGGAATATTCAAAGGGTAATTTCAGAACACATTAAGACCTATTGTGAAAAACCGAATATCTGGAGATAAAGAATAGAAATAAGCTATCTGTGAAGCTGCTTTGGAATGTGTGGATTCATTTCACAGAGTTGAACCTTTCTTTTGATTCAGCAGGTTAGAAACCATCTTTTTTTAGAATCTACCAAGGGATATTTTGGAACCCATTGAGGCCTATAGTGAAAAACCGAATATTCCAAGACAGTAACTAAAAACAAGCTCTCTGTGAAATCACTTTGCAATGTGTTCATTCATTTCACAGAGGTAAACCTTTTTTTGATTCAGCAGGTTGGAAATTCTATTTATGTAGAATCCACCAAGAGACAATTTGGAGCCTATTAAGGCCTATAGGGAAAAACCGAGTAACCTGCATTAAAAACAAGAAACAAGCTATCTGTGATACCACTTAATGATGTGTGGATTCATCTCACAGAGGTAAACCTTTCCTTTGATTCAGTAGGTTGGAAAAATTATTTTTCTAGAATCTGCAAAGGGACATTTCAGAGCCCATTAAGGCCTATAGGGAAAAACAGAATTTCCCATGATAAAAAATATAAACAAAGTATCTGTGAAACCACTTCATGATGTGTGGATTCATCTCATGGAGTTAAACCTTTCTTTTGATTCAGCAGGTTGGAAACACTCTTTTTGTAGAATCTATGAAGGGACATTTCAGAGCCCATTGAAGCCAGTAGTGAAAAATTGAATATCCCGCGATATTAGTCTGATGGGATTCCCCTTGTGGGTGACCTGACTTTTCTCTCTGGCTGTCTTTAACATTTTTTTTCTTCATTTTAACCTTGGTAACTCTGGTGATTATGTATATTCCTTGGGATTACTCTTCTCGAGGAATGTCTCTGTGGTGTTTTCTGTATTTCCTGAATTTGAAGGTTGGCCTGTCCTGCTAGGTTGGAGAAGTTCTCCTGGGTAATATCCTGAACAGTGTTTTCCAGCTTGGTTCCATCCTCCCCATCACTTTTAGGTAACCAGTCAAATGTAGATTTGGTGTTTTCACATAGTCCCATATTTCCTGGAGGCTTTGTTCTTTTCTTTTTAGTCTTCTTTCTATAATCTTGTATTCTCACTTTATTTCATTAAGTTGATTTTCTTTTCTTTTCTTTCACCCAGGCCAACTGCCGTGGCGCTATCTCGGCTCACTGCAAGCTCTGCCTCCCGGATTCATGCCATTCTCCTGCCTCAGCCTCTCAAGTAGCTGAGACTACAGGCACCTGCCACCGTGCCCGGCTAATTTTTTTGTATTTTTAGTAGAGATGGAGTTTCACTGTGTTAGCCAGGATGGTCTCGATCTCCTGACCTCCTGATCCGCCTGCCTTAGCCTCCCAAAGTGCTGGGATTACAGGCATGAGCCACCATGCCCGGCCAGTTGATTTTCAATCTCTGATTTTTTTCCACTTGATTTATTCAGCTATTGATGCTTCACGAAATTCTTGTGCTTTGTTTTTCAGCTCCATCAGGTCATTTATGCTCTTCTCTAGACTGGTTATTCTAGTTATCAGTTTGTCTAACCTTTTTTCAAGGTTCTTAGGTTCCTTGCATTGCATTAGAACATGTTTTTTTAGCTCAGAGGAGTTTGTTATTCCCCACGTTCTGAAGCCGACTTCTGTCAATCCATCAAACTCATTGTCCATGCTGTTTTGTTCCCTTCCTGGTGAGTTGAGATTTTTTTTTTTTTTCTGAAATGGAGTCTCACTGTGTCACAAAGACTGGAGTGCAATGCTGTGATCTCAGCTCACTGCAATCTCTGCCACCCGGGTTCAAGCAATTCTCCTACCTCAGCTTCCCAGGTAGCTGGGATTACTGGTACATGCCACCACGCCCAAGTAATTTATTGTATTGTTAGTAGAAACAGGGTTTCATCATGCTGGCCAGGCTGGTCTCGAACACCTGACCTCGTGTTCTACTCACATCAGCCTCCGAAAGTGCTGAGATGATGGGTGTGGACCACCATGACTTGCCTATATTTTTTATATATGAGTGAAGAACAATCTGACCTCAGTCATCAGTGCGGCAATTTTCTAGGCAACAAGGGAGGGAGGAACTTGGAAGTTGTGGCAGGGGCAGTGGGGAAGACACAGTTGCCCTGGGCTGTGGGCAGGTGGCCTGAGCTTCCTTCCTCCTTGAGGCCTCAGTTTTCAGAGTAACAGTGTCCTCTAGGCGATGCCTGACATCTGCCAATGAGAGTGTCAGCCTGGAGTGAATTGAGATCGCCCAGAGTGAGGGAGGAAGAGAAGGAGGCCCCCACAGCACAGTGGGTAGCCATACTCTCCAAGGTGGTCCCCACAGCTAATCAACCAGGGTCCCTGAAAAACACAGCCTAAGTCCCCAGTCATTAGATCACCTGGAACTTCCACTCAGAGATGAGAGACTGACTGGAAATTCTCTCAGTCAAGGTCCAAGCCTAAAAGAATCACTGGCACACCCACTAGGACTAAGACAATTTTTAAAAGAATCATTTCTTTGTTTTGGTTGCATCCGTGTATTTCTGTATAATGAAATTACTTATTGTAAATGTTACTTTTTTTACTCATCACGTGTACCATCCTGTGATAGACAGACCAGGGGACTCATCACCTCAGAGTCTATAAGGCCAGAAGTTGACATCCTCAATTTCTATTTAGATTGAATTTAAACAAGCCAGCCAAACACTCTGCAGTGAAACTCTCATAAGGACAAGCGATTGAAAAAGGAAATAAACAAAACAAAAACAATGCTTTCAGGGGCAGTGGCTCACGCCTGTCATCCCCACACTTTGGGAACCTGAAGGCTCGTGAATCCCTTGATCCCAGGCAATCCAGAACAGCCTTGGCAACATGGTGAAACCTCCTCTCTACAAAAATACAAACATTAGCTGGTTTCATAATCTGGACTCAAAATTATAAATAAATAGATTAAAATTTAAAATAAAACAATCTTAAATGCTGTATTCTGTTATTTTTGCTTCCTACCCTGAGAAAAACATAATATAGCTGTTGTCTGTCTGTCTGTCCATCTGTTTGTGACAGGGTCTCATTCTGACTGTCATCAAGGCTGCAGGGCAGTGACACTATTATGGGTGACTGCAGCATCAACCTCTCCAGGGTTAGGTGATTCTCCCACTTTGGCCTCCCAAGTAGCCAGGAGCACAGGCATGTACTTCGGGTTTTGGCTGTGTTGTCCAAGACTTGACTCGAGTTCCTAGGTTCAAGCATTCCTACTGTCTCAGTCTCCCAAAGTGTTGGGGTTGTAGACATGAGCCACTGCACCCAGCCTGACTTAATACATCTGGTCTCACTATATCTTGAACACATGCCCGTGAAGAACTCAAGTCAAGGGAGTGTCAACCAGAGACTTTCAGCATTCTCTCCCGAAAGGGTGGAGGTGGATGGTGGCCGAGTGTGCCGCACTCCTGTGGTTTTACATGGCCACTTGTAGAGGATAGATTTCAAATGTTTCTGTAGAGGCACAAGCCACAGTCATTCGGGGCATCCGAGCAAGGGATGGGGTTTCTGACAGTGTCTTAAGGGCCAGGATCTGCCAAGGCCTATGTCCCACGGTGGGGTTGATGCAATCCAGGGTAGAGGGAGCCATTGGTCCTCAGTGAGTTCTAGTCCTAGGCCCCACTGTACAGACCAAGTCAGAAGGAACAGTCCCTCATCCTACATGCCACATCCCTCCACTGAAGTTGAGAGCAGACCCGTTTTCCAAACATGAGGTGACTCGTGGTTTGAAATGGATGACAAGGGGCCGGACATTCCTAAATTGGCAGGATAAAGGTCATTCTGTGGCATAGAATGAGGTGTGGTTTGAATCTAGAATCTCCAGTTAAAACCAGTGAAGGTGGCTGGGTGCAGTGGCTCATGTCTGTCATCCCAGTACTTTGGGAGGCTGAGGCAGGCAGATAACGAGGTCATGATTGTGAGACCAGCCTGGCCAACATGGTGAAACCCCATCTCTACTAAAAATACAAAAATTAACTGGGTGTGGTGGTGTGTGCCTGTAATCTTAGCTACTCAGGAGGCTGGGCAGGAGAATTGCTTGAACCCAAAAAGCGGAGCCACTGTAAATCCAGCCTGGTGGACAGAGCGAGACTCCATCTCAGAAACAAACAAACAAGCAAAGCCAATGAAGGTGTTTAACTCAAAGTGTCACACTCAGGTCTCCTGACAGGATACATCCAGCACCCGGGGAAATGTCAGGGGGTGGGGTGGAAATTATTTTGTGGCCTCAAGGGAGGGTTTGAGAGGTAGTCCCACACAAGTGGCGGCCTAAGAAATTCCCTTCGCTCAAGAAGCCATATTCATTTCTAGCCTGTAGCCACCCATGCTGGAGAATCAGGCTCTCTACAGAACCCCTCGTGAAATGGGCTCTCGCTCCATTCAATAAAAATGGGAGAATCTGTTTCCCAGCAAGCAGCCACAGGTTAAAGATGATGCCAAGATCAAACAAACGTCCCATCTATGCGCTCCGGACACTCGCATAAGGAGAGCGTAAGGTTCTACTCACACCGTGTGGTTTTGTAACCTCCAACGTGTGTGCTGGTGTGGGACGCTGTAGACAGAGGAGGGGAAAGAGTGGCAGTGTCCGGGTGGTGCCGGAGACATGGGACTTGGTTGGATTGGTCAGAGTCTAGGGAACTCATCACCTGTCAGGACGTCTCCCCTCCTGCTCTTCTGTCTGCCCTACTCTCCACATCTTCACAGTGCAGTGGAGACCATGTGGGTGGAGGTTGCTGTCGTGCTGGACTTAAGCAGAGGAAGGTAGCCCTCCCAAATATCTCCCTGGAGTGGGTGGCTTGGGCAGGCTCACAAGAATGCTGATGGTGATGGTGAGAGTGATATACGGTGGAGGCCAAGGGCCAATGTAGAGGTATGCATTTGACCTCGTTGGGAGTGGTCAGCTTTGTGAAGTCCCACGCATCCTTCCAGAGGAAGCTAGCAAGCATGGTCTCAAGGATCACAGCTCCCCAGCAGAGGCACTTGTGTTCACACAGAATCCTGGCAAGGCAAGTTCTCAGCAGGCTTCGGCCTCCTAGCCAAAAAGCTGAAACCACTTCTGGGAGGTTTTTCAAAGAGCCAGTGGTTCAACAAGGGGCCATGGGTAGTTTTGGAAATGGAGAAAAGTGTTTGGTGATACATATTTAAGACAGAACAGACAGGGCTCAGTCATGGGTTGTTTAGGACACGGGGTGATTCAGATTGAGAAAACCCTCCTAGCATCCTAGGTGAACAGAGGTACGATTTATCAAGACAGTAATTCTGGGTCACAGCTGAAGCGAGGGAGAATCAAACTCAGATTTTAGGGTTGGATCTTTATTAATATGTAATATCTATGAGGTATCCAAGCCCAGAAATCAACTCACCAGTTCTGTACAGGATTCTGTATGGAGATCAAATCTGGGATTTCTAAAGTTAAGAATTCACCCTTGGTAATAGATTAGATTAGATCTACCTGAGCCTATTTTAGAAAAAAAGACAGGGAGGGACAGAATAAGACAGAGAGAGAAAGATACAGAGAGAGAGACAGAGAGAGAGAGAGAGAGAATAAGAGGGAGACAAAGGCAGAGAGAGATGACATAAAAAAAGAAAGAGAAAAAGAGAGAGACACAGAGAAAGAGAGAGGCAGATGGACAGAGAAAGAGACTGACAGAGAGAGACAGAGACAAAGAGAGACAGAGAGACACACAGAGATAAAGAAAGAGAGAGAGAATGACAGAAGACAGAGAGAGACACAGACTAAGAAACAGAGACAGGAAGAGAGAGAAACAGGCAGACAGACATAGACAAAGAGAGAGAGAGAAGGACAGAGAGAGAGGGACAAGGAAAGGGACAGAGTGAGACAGAGACAGAGAGAGAGAGACAGAGAGATGGAGAGAGGAAGAGGAAGAGGAAGGGGGTACTCAAGAAATAATTACACATATTTTATAAAGCTTTGATGCCATAAATGGTGGCCGGAGTATGCTTCGAAAACAACAACATCAAAAACAATAGCGGCAGCAGCAGCACTCACTTACGAATTTCTAGAAAATAAGATGTTATGAACTACAGTTTACATTAACTGGCTCTCACTACACATTCAGAGATTCGCAAAAGCGCTAGTTAACAACAGAAGAAAACAGCAGCTAACATGTCCTGGGGAAAATATACGGTCTTCCTAAAAATTGGTGAATTCTACTTCACCTGAAAAGAAATAAATAAGAAAAAGGAAAGACACAAACAAAACAAAATAAACAAGCAAACAAACATGGGCCAATGCATCGTCTCTGGAAATCTTAAATGAGCAAAACGCGTTTTAGAAAGTGTTTCTATTTTGGGCAAATACTAATAAGGCCCAGGGTAGAGCTGTGACACCCTTTCCATTTTGAAAATATGCTAGCCTGAGGGAGGAGAAAATAAAACATCTCGACAAGTTGTTTGAGACCCAGCCAGGATGAAGCTTTCCTAGGTAGGGAGGCCTGAGGAGGGAAGGGGGAAAAACCCACAACTGCAGTCCGGCCCGCCGGCCGGCTTGCCCACGCGGGTCAAGGGCTATGCCATCTGCCCAAGCTGCCTCTGGGGAAGTGGAACCGTGCCGCCCCCATCTTCAAAAACGGTGGCCAATGAGTGATGCCTGGCGACCACCAATGCAAATGTCAGCCTGGCCAGAATGTGATCGCCGGTGAGGGGTAGGGGAAGGGGAGAGAAGACGGAGACATGCAAGAGTGGTTCTGGAACGTTTCCAAGCAGGATGCTGGGAGGCGGGGGGGTTGGGGGAAACCCACCTAACTAACACTAAATTAAGGTAAAGGGGCATGGGGGGCCGGGGGGAGACTTAAAGTGACTCCACATAAAGCCAAAGTGGAAGAGCCTATGCGCATTAAAGAAACCAACACACGAAGAAAAATAAAGTGCTGGTAAAAGAACAATAGGGGCCCCGCCAAGGCTGAGGTTCCCTAAGCAACGAGGGAGAGAGGGAGGGGCCTCCAGGAGGGAGGGAGAGAAACCAGTTGCCCCAGGCTTTGTAAAGTCGGCCAGACCTCCCTTCGTGCCACTTCGACTTTCAATAACAGTGGCCGCTAGGTGACGCCCGAAGACAACCGATGCTTGCAAGTGTGTGCACGGAAAAGAAGCGAACAAAGGATCTCTCTGAGTCCCGGTGGAGGTTGGGGAGGGGGGCGGCAGAGGCACACCCACTCCCTGACCTCTTGCCCATCCCTCTCAGTCCAGGTCGTTTCTGGGCCCAGGGAGTCCTCCCAGCCGATGCCCACGACTAGTCGACCAGAGCCTTCAGGGTACACAGCCTACCTTTCTGCTCATGGGATCGTCTGGAACTTCCTTCCCCCCAGAGAGAAAAGAGGACCACCAGAGCATGGGAGTGCGGACAGAGACTAGGTCCCGAGGTGGGACCTATCTAAGGCAGAAGACCAGTCCATAGCGTTTCAGAGTATACTCCAGACCCACGACCTCAGAGTGGCAATACCTGTCACAAAGGGAGGAATTCCATGAAATCCACGCTCCCGGACACAGCGTGGATTTCACAGAGAGGACAGCTGGCACCACACTCCCTCCTGTTCTGGGGCCAGTTTTCGCTGACGTAGTACCCGTTTCTCAGTCGTGTTCCCCAAAGTCCACCCTGTGGTGAATCAGTCAGGAATCTAGTTCGGTGAATCCCGAAACATCCACATCCGACCTCTAAGATCGGAGTCCGCACACTACACATCGCTCCACGCAGTGTCTCGCCACAATAACATCACTGCCGTCCTAGCCTGGTAGCGACACAGTGGCATTTATTAGAAATCACTCTACGGAGTTTCGCTCTTGTTGCCCAGGCTGGAGTGTAGTGGCACTATCTCGGCTCACTGAAACCTCTGTCCCTCAGGTTCAAGCGAATTTTCTGCCTCAGTCTCCCAAGTACCTGCAATTACAAGCATGTGCCACCACGAACGGTTAATTTTGTATTTTTAGTAGAGACAGGGTTACTCCATGTGAGTCTGACTGGTCTTAAACTCCTGATCTCAGGTGATCCACCCACCTCGGCCTCCCAAAGTACTGGGATTACAGGCATCAGCCACTGCACCCCACCATGTGTATAGAATTTTATGCCACAATAATGAGCTTTCTTCCTTGGCACCTTCACAATTGGTTTCACTAGGTAAAATTTTCTTTAACGGTTTATTTTTAAGTGGAGGAGTTTGTCAGGGAAATACGAGAAGTATAGACGCCACAAGTGACGGGGGAAAAGTCTGAAAATGCCCCTTTCATCCAAATTGAGACCTGGCCTCGACCTCCCCAAATCATACACCGAGTGGGGAAGCCCAGCAAGGCCCGTCTGTCTAGATTCCTCTCGTCCTCTTTAAGTACGGTGCTCCTTCCTTTCATGGAAGGGGCAGGGCCCTCCCCGGAACGGGGGTCTCAGGACCTACGGTCAAACCAGACACACCCTATGGAACCCAAGCATATACACAGACAATTTCCCTGTCATCTCAGGGCCTTCGTTCTGCAGACTCCCGTGAAGACAGGTCCCAGAAACATGTCTGCCTATTCTTTTATTCATCTGCCTCTGACGAGTTGAGGTTTCAGGTGAAACTTCAGAGGGCCAAAGGCAAAGTGCTCCCTCTGCCCCCACGTGACCTTTTTGTGAGCAGGGAAAATGACGGTCTCCCCAGGCCAAGGTCACCAGATACCCCGATCCGTTTTTCCCCTCCCAGTGGGATTCTGTACATCCGTCTTGGGGCGACACACAGTCTGCTAGCCACCGACAACAGGCGTGGCGATCACACTGTCTAAAAGCGAAGAAGATAGAAAACAAAACTAACTTACTTAACTGAGTAACTAACGGGGAGAGGGGACTCAGGAAGTCGACCTATAGCAAAAATTACACATCATTCAGAGCATAAGGGCCGCAGTGAAAGGCGGCAGAACACGCGCTTTTAAAGGCTAAAATCTGGGCGGCTCACGCCTGTCATGCCAGCAATTTGGGAGGCCCAGGAGAGTGGATCACTTCAAGTCAGGAGTTCGAGACCACCCTGGCCAACATGGCAAAACCCCGTCTCTACGAAAAATACAACAATTAGCCGGGAGTGGCTGTGTGCGTCTGTAATCCCAGCTACTGAAGGCTGAAGCAGGAGAATCGCTGGAATCCGGAAGGCAGAGGTTGCAGTGAGCCGAGACAGCGCCACTGCACCCCAGCCTGGGCAGCAGAGCAAGACACTCAGTCTCCCAAAAAAAAAAAAAAAAAAAGACTGAAATACTCCCCCGCCTTCCTTCCCTTTTCCCCTTCAGAAACTACAGTGGTTTGCAGTTTCTGATCCCTTAAGAGGCAGAAAATATTCCATGGGGCTAACTGTGGCTTTCTTCCATTGCCGCTGAAAGTCCCCCACAAGGCCGGATAAACCCTGACTCAGGTCGAGGAGGTGGTGTTTGGTTTTATTTCTCTCTCTCTCTCTCTCAACTTTTATTTCTTGTTCAAGCATACATGTGCAAGATTGTTATATAGGTAACTTCTGACTGGGGGTTCAGTGTGCGGATTATTTCATCAACCGGGTACTCAGCGCAATACCTGACAGTTTTTATCTGAAACTGTCTCTCCTCCCACTCCTCCTCCCTCAAGTAGAGCCCCGTGTCTGTCGTCCCCCTTTCTCCCCAAGTGTTCTCATTATTTAGTTCCCACTTATAGATGAGAACACGAGGTATTAATTATTTTTGGTTTCATCTTCGGTGATGGTGATAAAAGAGGCATGACCCTAAATCGAGCCTTAGGACACTCCCCTCCGTCCTCACCCCACACCCCCTCCCCACACACACCCTCACCCCTGTACCCCCTACTCAAGCTCAACAAAGGAAGAAAGAAAGTAAAGTAAAAGGTCAGCTTCCAAAGCGGTGGAGGCGGGGAATCTCAAAGGGTGAGCAAGCGGTGGGGGGCGGGGTATGTCCTGGCCAAACTAGCAAAGGTGGGGGACTGACTTTCTAGCCCCACCCCACCCCCCAGTCGCCAACCGCAGCCAGGCTTCTGGTGGGGTGGTGCCTGCAAAAGCTTCTGAATGGAGAGAGGCCTGAGGCTATGGAAGTCACCAGCTCTGACTCCAGGAAGGGAACAAAGCTTTGTGCATTTTAGTGGGGCTTTGGAACGCGGTGCTGTGCCTTCCAAAGTGATGCGCCTCGCCTGGCACAGAGCAAGACTCGTTCTAAAAAAAAAAAAAAAAAAGGAAAAAAAAATAGTAGACTAGTTGTGGTTGTGAATCATTCCCCTGAGGCCAGGCGAAGTGGCTCACGCTCATCATTCCAGCACCTTGAGACGCTGAATCAGGAGGATTGCAACGAAGTGATGAGACTCTAAAAAATTTAAAAGTGATCTGGGCACAGAGGCGCGTGCCTGTGGTCCAGGTACTACTATGGAGGCTGAGGAGGAAAGATCGCTTGAGCTAAGATGTGTCCAGGCTGCAATGAGTGAGCTATGATGACACCACTGCACTCCAGCCAGGGTGACAGAGTGAGACGCTGTCTCTAAATCAATTAATCAAATCACTGAAAGGAGCTCTCTATTTCTTACTTTCAATGGATGTCTCTTTAGGCCAGATGGGCATGGTGGCTCACCCCAGTAATCCCAGCACTTTGGGAATCCAAGGCGGGAGGATTGAAAAAAGAAAGAAAGAAAAAGAAAAAGGTGGGGGGAGGCGTATCTCCTTGACTGGTGACTAAAAGTACACAAACCCAAAAGGAAGGAACGTGTGTAGGATTTGGTAAACGGATCCTGTTTTCTTAAATTACTGTACAGTGTTGTCATCTTAAAGATGAGTGAGGCCGGGGGCGGTGGCTCACGCCTGTAATCCGAGAAGTTTGGGAGGCTGAAGCTGGTGGATCATGAGGCCAGGAGTTCAAGACCAGCCTGACCAAGATGGTGAAACCACGTCTCTACTAAAAATACAAAAATTAGCCAGGCGCGGTGGCAGGAGCCTGTAATCCCTGCTACTGGAGAGGCTGAGGCAGGAGAATCACTTGAACCCAGGAGGCAGAGATTGCAGTGTGCCAAGATTACGGGACACTGCACTCTAGCCTGGGGGACAGAGCAAGACTCCGTCTCCAAAAAAATGAATTAAAAACAAACAAACAAAAAAAAAAGACTAGTGGGCCAGCCTAGCCAACATGGCTAAACCCTGCTTGTCTCTACTAAAAATGCAAATATCAGCCAGGCCTGGTGGCACACGCTGGGGAAGACCACTCAGGGAAGCCGAGGCATGAGAATCACTTGAGCCTGGGAGGCGGAGGTAGCAGCCATCCTAATTCGAGCCACCGCACTCCAGCCTGGGTGAAAGAGTGAGAACCTGTCTCAAAAAAAGAAAGATGAGGCCGGGCACAGTGGCTCACACCTGTAATCCCAGCACTTTCGTAGGCCAAGGCAGGTGGATCACAAGCTCAGGAGTTCAAGACTAGCCTGACTAATATGGTGAAACCCCGTCTCTACCAAACATACAAAAATTAGCTAGGCTTGGTGGTGTACTCCTGTAGTCCCAGCCGCTTGGGTGGCTGAGGCAGGGGAATCGCTTTAACCCGGGAGGTGGAGGTTGCAGTGAACCGAGCTTGCACCACTGCACTCCAGCCTGGGTGACAGAGGGAGACTCCGTCTCAAAAAAAAAAAAAAAAAAAAAAAAGAAAGAAAGAAAGAAAGAAGAAAGAAAGAAAGAAAGATGGAAAGATGGAAAATATGGAAAATATAGATCTTAGAGTTGACAAATGGATAGATTCAGTATGAGATGCACATGGGATGGTTACCAAGCTTGAATTACAGTTTTCTTTTTTTTTTTTTTTTTAGCTCTGTCACCAGGCTGGACTGCTGTAGCATGATCTCAGCTCACTGCAGTCTTCGAATCCCTGGTCCAAGCCATTCTGCTACCTCAGCCCCCTGAGTAGCTGAAATTACAGGCATGCACCACCACGCCTGGCTAATTTTTGTATTTTTAGTAGAGACAGAGTTTCACCATGTTGGCCAGGATGGTCTTGATCTCCTGACCTAGTGATCCACCTGCCTTTGGTTCTTTCTTTCTTTCTTTCTTTCTTTCTCTTTCTTTCTTTCTTTCTTTCTTTCTTTCTTTCTTTCTTTCTTTCTTTCTTTCTTTCTTTTTCTTTCTTTTTCTTTCTTTTCTTTCTTTCTCACAGGATTTCCCAGGTTAAGGTGGGTCACTGCTGACTGCAGCCTCAATCTTTCAGGCCTCAAGTGATCTTCTCCTTATCTCAGCCTCCCAAGTAGCTGGGACTAGCGGCATGCACCACTATGCCAAGATAATCTTTTTATTATTATTATTATTATTATTATTATTATTATTATTATTATTATTATTATTTTGAGACAGGGTCTCATTCTGTCACCTAGGCTGCAGCACCATGGCGCAATCTCGGCTCACTGCAACCTCCACTTCACTGGTTCAAGTGACTCACTGCACCCAGCCTCCTGAGTTTTTGCCATGTTGGCCATGGCTGGTCTCGAACTCCTGGCCTTAAGTTGATCCACCCGCCTTGGCCTCCTAATGTGCTGGGATTACAGGCATGAGCCACTGCACCTAACTTAATTTTATTCACTCTATCTCATACATACTCAAAGAGTTTTTTTGGAAGTCGATGCTAGCATAATCCCCATTGTGCATATTTCAGGGCTGGGGAGACCTGAAACACACAATGACTTTTATATGATCACAGAAATGAGAAGAAAAAGAATATTCTAACCCAGCTCTGTTCCCTCAAGCCTGGGGCCCTGGCTACATTTAGATGTTTTCAGGAGGTAAGGGGCTTGTGTTTGTATAATTGTTTACAGGTGAAGAGTTGACATGGGAGAGGAGGGTGAGTAATCAGCAGCTGTGCCGGGCCTTTGCATACATTTATGGAAGAAAAGGACTCAGGGGATGATGGAACCTTGAAGAATTAACACAATTCTCTTGTGACAGAACCTGACAAAATTTAGAACTTTGAAAACCAGACACCCACATTCGAGAGACAGCCCTGTACCTGGCTCATTTCGTGGGAGATGCTTAAGAGAACACTATGTTCTTATTGTATGGTGACATTCCTAAGGTTTTGCCTTAGAAAGGTCCAAGTGAGAGCCTTTTCTAATAATATAGACATTGGCTCAGCTGGCATCATTGACGCCTCTGTCCATTTAGCAAGAGGCACCCACAGGTAACACAGTGTAGCCCAGGGCAGGTCTGACCATGCCAGGTCTCTCTTGTCACCTAATCTGGGAATTCTCACCTGGCCCACCATAATCATTTGTTGCATGGGGAGCAGGAAAGGAGGAGGATCTTCCTGACATGGGCAGGTTGCCAGGCGCTGGAACCGTGGTGGGTCTGTCATGTTCACACCCAGATAATGGCTAGTTGAATAAAAAGTTGAGTGTTGGGGACCAAGTGTATCTACTCAGATGTAAATCCCAAGGCCTTAGGCTGTCCTCTGTTTTCCTCATGGGCTGGGGGTCTATGCAGATGCTCCTCTGTGTCTGATCTGGGGAGCAGAATTTCTAATGGAGATGTCACCTTGTGGTAAAAACAAGAGAGACGATTAACTATTTTTTGGGGTGGGGGCTTGGCTTAGGTGCTGGGCATTCTCTTCACAGAGCTGCATTAAAATCAGTGAGCATTTTTTCATGTGTTTTTTGGCTGCATAAATGTCTTCTTTTGAGAAGTGTCTGTTCATGTCCTTTGCCCACTTTTTGATGGGGTTGTTTGTTTTTTTCTTGTAAATTTGTTGGAGTTCATTGTAGATTCTGGATATTAGCCCTTTGTTAGATGAGTAGGTTGTGAAAATTTTCTCCCATTTTGTAGGTTGCCTGTTCACTCTGAGGGTAGTTTCTTTTGCTGTGCAGAAGCTCTTTAGTTTAATTAGATCCCATTTGTCAATTTTGTCTTCTGTTGCCATTGCTTTTGGTGTTTTAGACATGAAGTCCTTGCCCATGCCTATGTCCTGAATGGTATTGCCTAGGTTTTCTTCTAGGGTTTTTATGGTTTTAGGTCTAACATTTAAGTCTTTAATCCATCTTGAATTGATTTTTGTATAAGGTGTAAGGAAGGGATCCAATTTCAGCTTTCTACATATGGCTAGCCAGTTTTCCCAGCACCATTTATTAAATAGGGAATCCTTTCCCCATTGCTTGTTTTTCTCAGGTTTGTCAAAGATCAGATAGTTGTAGATATGCGGCGTTATTTCTGAGGGCTCTGTTCTGTTCCATTGATCTATATCTCTGTTTTGGTACCAGTACCATGCTCTTTTGGTTACTGCAGCCTTGTAGTATAGTTTGAAGTCAGGTAGCGTGATGCCTCCAGCTTTGTTCTTTTGGCTTAGGATTGACTTGGTGATGCGGGCTCTTTTTTGGTTCCATATGAACTTTAAAGTAGTTTTTTCCAATTCTGTGAAGAAAGTCACTGGTAGCTTGATGGGGATGGCATTGAATCTGTAAATTACCTTGGGTAGAATGGCCATTTTCACGATATTGATTCTTCCTACCCATGAGCGTGGAATGTTCTTCCATTTGTTTGTATCCTCTTTTATTTCCTTGAGCAGTGGTTTGCAGTTCTCCTTGAAGAGGTCCTTCACATCCCTTGTAAGTTGGATTCCTAGGTATTTTATTCTCTTTGAAGCAATTGTGAATGGGAGTTCACTCATGATTTGGCTCTCTGTTTGTCTGTTGTTGGTGTATAAGAATACTGGCCATCAGAGAAATGCAAATCAAAACCACAGTGAGATACCATCTCACACCAGTTAGAATGGCAATCATTAAAAAGTCAGGAAACAACAGGTGCTGGAGAGGATGTGGAGAAATAGGAACACTTTTACACTGTTGGTGGGACTGTAGACTAGTTCAACCATTGTGGAAGTCAGTGTGGCGATTCCTCAGGGATCTAGAACTAGAAATACCATTTGACCCAGCCATCCCATTACTGGGTATATACCCAAAGGACTATAAATCATGCTGCTATGAAGACACATGCACAGGTATGTTTATTGCGGCACCATTCACAATAGCAAAGACTTGGAACCAACCCAAATGTCCATCAATGATAGACTGGATTAAGAAAATGTGGCACATATACACCATGGAATACTATGCAGCCATAAAAAATGATGAGTTCATGTCCTTTGTAGGGACGTGGATGAAATTGGAAATCATCATTCTCAGTAAATTATCGCAAGAACAAAAAACCAAACACCACATATTCTCACTCATAGGTGGGAATTGAACAATGAGATCACATGGACACAGGAAGGGGAACATCACACTCTGGGGACTGTTGTGGGGTGGGGGGAGGGGGGAGGGATAGCATTGGGAGATATACCTAATGCTAAATGACGAGTTAGTGGGTGCAGCGCACCAGCATGGCACATGTATACATATGAAACTAACCTGTACAATGGGCACATGTACCCTAAAACTTAAAGTATAATAATAAAAGAAAAAAAAGAAAAAAAAATACAAATTATCAGACAACTTAGATATACAAACTATAAGCCCCACGTTTAGCCGATAGTTTGTGGGCCAGCACGCGTGGAGCAGCTACCTCTAAGCCCCACCTGCTCCCTTTCCACCTGCACAGCTTCCTGGCTGCACTGCCCGCCTCCAGACAGCTAGTACCCTCCAACACAGCTAGCACACTCCAACACAGCTAGCACAATCTTTTCAGGGAGAGAGGAAAATCCTACTGCCACCTTTCTTAAAATCTCCCAAAATATATAGAAATAGAAAATAAAACTGTGGTTAACAGAGACAGGGGTTTGGGAGCGAGAGGAAATGAGGGGATGTTGGTCAAAGGACACAGAGTTGCAGATATGTAAGGATATGTAAGGCGAATAAGTCCAGAGGTGTAATTCACAATGTGAGGACCCTAGGTTAATAATATTGTGTTGTAGTCACGATTTTTGCTAATACTATGAATTATAGGTGCTCTTGTAACAAAAAGTAGGGGTGGTTAACCATGTGAGATGATGGATATGTTCATTTGCTTCACTATAGTAGTCATTTTACTATGTGTAAGAGTATCAAAACATCATGCTGTACATCTGAAATGTACACTAAATAAATTGAAATAAAATCCTGAATAAATAAATAAATAAATAAAATCAGTGAGCAGCTGTTTAATGGGTTCAACTCCCCATCTCCTTGGACAAGGGGTAGGATCATAATACCACCAAGCATGGCCCACAGTGAGCTATGGTGAGAGCAGGCACATGGGAGTCTCTAGAGACAGGGGCCTGACAAGGCCAGGATGGGCCCAAAACCCAGACCCAAACATGGACTCCCTCTGGGCTCTGTCTTAGAGCTTTTGTCTCTGAGTGAACCAAAGTTCTGCCGTCAAAATTCTGGCCTTCATTAATCCCAATGCCAACTTGGTTAGGTGTAAAGTCCCTGTTTACATACTTGTAGAAATACCAGAGAAGCCCTTTGTGTTGTTTTTACTTTACAGTAGGCTGTATTTATTCATGTTGCTATAGTTTGTATTGTTTTAACTATTTACCCCAAGTATCTTCTGTAGTAGGCAGCTTCACTGTACTGCCAGACTTTCTCTGAGACGTAAAATCCACGACTATTACTAGGGAGCTTTTTACACAAAAATAGGAAAGAGGTTACATAAAATAAAAGTTACATTGTTCCCTGCATTTGTCTGCAATGTGTCATCTCAGAGAACTCATCTCTGTAGCCCATCAGGGCAGAAGCTATGCTTTCACATGTCTTTGTAATGTTCTATAAAAGGAGATCATTTCCCAAAGTGGGTTAGCCTTTCAATGCCGGTGGAGCCTGCCATGATAACATTCTATTTTCATTTTAGCTGTAATGCAGAAAACATTATCTGTGTGTCATGATTGGCTGTAACAGTTTGCTTGGGTTTCCATAACCCAGTTCGGTGGACTGAAGTTCTCAATGGAAACTGAATTTCTCATAATTCTGGAGGCTAGAAATTGAACATCAAGCTATTGGCTGAAGTGGTTTCTCTAATGCCGCTTTCTACTTGAGATTAGTTGACTACCTTGTATTTCTGTTTTCACAGGGTCTTCCCTTGAGCCTCTGTGTCTTTACTCTTTTTAAAAGGACTCCAGTCATGTTAGATTAGGGTCCACTTTACTGAACTTAATCACAGTCACTTCTTTAAAAACCATATGTCCAAACACTCACTCATACTTTGAGGCTGATTACATTATATATGCCTTAGAATGTCAACATATAAATATTAGAATATCGACATATAAATTTGGGAGAAGGGACACAATTTAGAACATAATATGCATTCATGGTAGATTGCCAGGAAGGTGATTACTGGGTGATTACATATATTAGGTGTAATCTAATATATGTTCTAGTAATAAATACTAGGTGATCACATATATACATATGTATATATGTAAAATTTTTATAGCTACAGCCAGGTGACTTTCCACAAGGTCTGTGTCAATTACACTGTCATCAACAGTCCCTGAATATAGCTGCTTCTCTGGACCCAGCCTCTGCTGGATGTTAACATTCTTTTAATTTTTTGACAATCTCATGTCTGTGGGCCGATAAAAACACATTGGTCCTTTTATTTCCAGTTTTCCAACTGATATGTTTGAGTCACTTTTTAGTTGTTATTTTAAATATGGATTTGGGTTTTCTGTTCCTCCAGTTACCCCCTCAGATCTTTGGCTCTGTCATTAATCCTGGAGTCTGCCAGCATTTGTCTTCTTACCAGGTCTGAAAATGTTGTGTCTGTTTCTTAAGACTTTCTTTAATATTAAAGAAAGAAAAACAATATATTGCTTTAATTCAAAGTGTTCTTCTAAGCTGTCTTGCCCTGTTCACTGTCTCCAAAATGAAGAGGAAATAAGGCTTCTCCAGGTTCTTGCATGCAATGTCAGAAGCCACTGTTTCAGGTAATTTAGAGGGAATTTCATGCAGCCCTCTCTGTGAAAGGTTCTTAGTTCTGACCCACGTGCTGTTCAGCAGCCATTTGAAATTGCGAAGCCTGTGTTTACTCATCTCTACACTGAGGACATTTTTGGAGAACTCAGTGGGAAAACACACTTTATACAGCCTATTAATATGGATGGGTGCTGTTGCTTCACAGTTGACAAAATTCCATGAGGATTTCTTGCAGGTATTAGTGGTTAGATTACCCTCAACCCCATATCAAATTTTTTTTAAAGTCTAAAACTTTTTTTGTCAGGGACATGCATGTCTTCCACACTCACAAGAAGGGGTGTTTGTGGCCAGGTGCAGTGGCTCATGCTTGTCATGCTAGCATTTTTGGAGGCTAAGGCAGGTGGATCACTTGAGGTCAGGAGTTTGAGCCCAGCCTGAACAACATGGAGAAAACCCATTTCTACTAAAAATGCAAAATTAGTCGGGCGTGGTGGTGCATGCCTGTAATCCCAGCTGCTCGTGAGGCTGAGGCAAGAGAATTGCTTGAACCTAGGAGGCAGAGGTTGTAGTGAGCCGAGATCATGCCATTGCACTCCAGCCTGGGCAACAAGAATTAAATCGTGTCTCAAAAAAAAAAAAAAAAAAAAGTAATGTTTGTTACATTTACACACCACAGTTCTTTCTCCTTCCCAGTACAGCATGGTGCATCTAGGAATGGACTCCCAGCTCCTGGCTTCAGAATGCTCAAAGACATGGTGGTATACTTTAAATGACAAATTAGTTTGGCTGATACCAAAGGTAATAAAAGAAAATGAATCTTGAGAAAAGGTTTGAGAGACATTCAGAATTTCTAAGCCAACCAGACTCTCTCTGGACAAAGCCACTATGTGAAAATTGTGACTAGTGATTTTTTTAAATGCCCAAGTTTAATGGACATATATAATGTAATATAATATAATCAGCCAAAAATTACAGTATATACAAAGTATTAGGGTAATATTGCCCAATAAGAAAAACAAGATAAATATCCAGAAAACTACCCTAAAGAAATAGAGATGTATAAATTACCTAAAAATTTTAAAAATAATTATGTAAATGGTGCTCAGTGAGCAAAATGTGAGCACAGACAACTGAATAAAATCAGGAAAATGAGAACATAAACAATAAGATAAAAAATATTAAAAAGCAAATTATGGAGTTGAAGAATATAAAAAGAAACAATTCCTGAGAAATTGTTAAGCTTAAGGAAAAAAACGTAAACATTAAAATGTTCAACAAATTTTAACCAGGATAAACAGAAAAAGTTTTATAATAAGAAAAATTATAAGCAAAGTTTTGAAAGTCACAGACTAGTAGATAATCTTGAAAGCCAAAAAAGAAAAGCTATGTGTCATTTATAAGGGTGCTTCTATGAGATAACAAGTGCATCTAGCTGCAGGAATCTTGCCGGCCAGAAGGGACATGGGTAATATAGTCAACGTGCTGAAAGAACAGAAACTTTTAAGCAAGAATACTATATCCAGATAAACTATTTATCAACAGAAAGAAAAAGTAAAGTCCTTTCATG